>NC_000011.10:41878181-42181212 GCF_000001405.40 Homo sapiens
CAAACAGAGTTATTTACTCAGCCAAAGTAGTTCAATAACCTTATTGCTTAGAAAATGATTGTTTCTTCTCTGTGGAAATAATTTTACTTTCTTGAAAGAAGCCCAAGGAACTGACGTAGTTTCTCTCAGAAAAGATTAAGAAAGTTCTGGGCTGATGACATGAGAGTTAGTGACTCACCTTGGGAAGTGCCGCACATCAAATTGAGTTGTCAATCTGCAAATAAACATTATTCATGTATTCCATTTTAAATTGAGTCACCAGATATGCTGTTGCTTTTGTAATGAAGAAATGTAACAGGAATAATGAAACCTATGCATTACTAAAATACCAAATATGAAACTATAACAATAATATCAAAATAACAGATATTTACTACAAACAAAATATCAAATGTGGAAGTATAATTCAAGAATAACTAAAGAAATTTAAGGCAATTGCTGAATGCGTGCAGCTTTCAGTCTGGTTTAGGAATATATATGTATAGTACATAGTAGATGCCATGTATTTTTAGCTATTATGATAACACTATTAATGAATTAACACATCCATGAGATCCATGACTGCCTTTAATGCCTAAACCACATATAATATAAATGCCCTGCTCCCAGAGTGTGTCTCAGAAAATGACAATTGTGACTACCTCTTAGTGCCCCAACAGGTTTCTTATTAAACGAATATGTCACTTCTCCTAAATTCTACTTAATTGTTAAGAAGGTAAAACAATGACATGATATTTGATATTCTCTTTCCACCATTTATGAAAATGTTTTAATTCTCTTCCTTCTGTGGGCTTCCAAAAGCAAAAGTAATTTATACAAAATATCTAGTCATTTATCCAAAATGAATTGGTTGTGATGGAATCTGACACACATAATAAAGAAGGGATTCCAGCTTATACCCCTTGTATTGCTAGAAAATTGGGTTTGTCCGATACTGTATTCTTTCTTTGTCAATAATGCATAGACATCAAGGCTGGACCAACTGATCTTTAGCTCATAGTTGTGAGCTGTTGGATAGCGGTACTGGACTAGACTTTGCAAATTTGAAATACAGGCCCAAACCCAGGGTATGTGTCTATTCCAGGAAAGATGAATCACTGACCCATAAATGGTAGAAAGAGTGGCTTAAGGAATGATGCCATGTAAAGGGCTCAGTGGTGAATTCTCTTTCTGGTATGGTAGGTATGATATTTAGAAGCAGAGGTGGTTACATTCACTTTGATCAGAGGGAGTCCATGCTGTTGAGATCATGGATGGTTTCCATCCCTGGCCTTATATTTACTCCATTTGTGTGTCTATTATACCAGGACTGGGATGAACAATGACAATGATTGGCTGCAGTCAACTTGCTGAGTCATTCTGACTTCTTAGTTATTTAAACCTTCTCTTATGGTAGATGATCTCTAGTGGCTATAAATATGCAATACAAAGATAGTCACACCGGAGCCTCAGTTCCATAGTTTATTCACATAATTTTTCCCAGACTTCCTTGTCCCTGATCTTCCAAACTTTCTCCTTTCAGATGACTAACCAATCAGCCAAGGCATTTGCCACTGTCCATGAGGCTATATTTATTCTGACTTTTGGCCACTTATTCTTCCATTTAAAGTAGATAAAGAAGTACACTGCAGGAAGCTCTGGCCATTGGGAGAATTTAAAAATCTCTGTTGCTCTTCATCTCTGCTGTGTAAGTAGGGCTGTGTTATGATCTAAATGTATCCACCTCCTGCCCCCCAATTTATATGTTAAAACTTAATCTTCACTAAAATAGTATGATATTAAGAAGTGGGACATTTAGGAGGTGATTAGGTAATAAGGAGTTCTCTATTGTGAAAAGGATTAAAACCCTTACAAAGATGCTTCACACAGTATTTGGCCCTTTTTGCCCTTCCACCTTCCACCATGTGAGGACATAGTGTTCACCCCTTTTGCCACGTGAGGACGCAAGAAGGCCCTCAGCAGATAATGGATACTGAATTCCAGTCTTTTGATTTTGAACTTTCCAGCCTCCAGAACTGTAATAAATAAATTTTGGTTCTTTATAAATTACTCACTCTCATACATTTTGTTATAGCAGCACAAATAGATTAGAAAGACAAAAATTGGTACAGGGAGTGGGTGTTACTACAGTAAATATATGAAAATGTGTAAATGGCTTTTAAATTCGATAATGGGTAGAGGCTGGGACAATTTTGAAGTGTATAGTAGAAAATTCCTAGGTTGCCAGGAATGAAGCATTAAGGGTAATTATGTTGAGGGCTCAGAAGAAGAAAAGAGCTATAGAGAGAACGTCCTTCTTCTTAGAGATTATCTAAGTGTTCATAATCAGAATTCTGGCAGGAATATGGACAGAAGAGGCAATTCTGATAAGGTCTCAGACCGAAATTAGGATTATCTTATTGGAAACTGAAAGAAAATCCATCCTTGCTACAAAGTGGCAAAGAACTTGGCCAAATTGTGTTTGTGTCCTATTACTATGTAGAGGGCAGAATTTAAGAGCAATGAGCTAGTATATTTGGTGAAAGAAATCTCCAAGCAAAGTGTTCAGGCTGCTCCATGTCTTCTCTTGACTGCTTATGGTAAAACATGAGAAGAAAGAAATGAATTAAAGACAGAATTTATAATGAAAAGTGGAGCGGAACTTAAAGATTTACAAAATTATCAGCCTGATCAGGTTGTGAAGACTAAAAAGGCTTGTTTAGAAGAGAATATCAAGACTGTGGTCAAGAAAATGTTTGGTAAGGAGATCAGTACGGATAGAAGATAACCAGATGCTATTTATTCTTCCACGCTTATGAATCATAGCAGTCTTTCCAGGTGTGGAATACGCTGCTTCCAGATACCAAAGATGCTACCAGACAGATATGTTTTATTCTTATTGGTAAGGGTAAGAAAAGAAATTTCCCTTTGTTTTGCATAAAATTTCCTGGTATGTTCTAGGCAAGCATAACTTCAAAGATTCCTAAATTGTCATAGGCTCTATCACCCACTTTCTGAATCTAATGTGTGTTACCTAGAACCCTGGCATACTTGCACATTTTACTCGTATGTCATTGACGTTATATTGTTGATATACGAGTCAATATAAGGTTTTGTAGAATAAGATAGTCAAAATCCTTTTTTTTTACTGTAATATGAGAGAGAGTAAGAATGCTAAGCATAACCTGGGCAAGAATAGATATGTAATCTCTTGTCCATCTTATGTGATTATAAACAATTTATTTTTTCCCTTCTTACTAGGGATAAAAAAGAAAGTGTTTACTAGATAAATGGGTGCATACATCTGAGTCCATGTTAGCCTGCTCTTATACACCTACCATATTCATCAAAGCAGCTGCAATAAGAGGTGCTACTTGGTTGAGTTTTGGGTAGTCTACTTTAATTCTCTGAGATGCATCTGATTTTTGATAGGGAATAAGCAGTGAATTAAATGCAAACTACCACATTTATCTTCTAGGTCTGCCAGAGTTTACAAATCTCTGATATTTCTTTTGGGATGTGATATTGTTTCTAATTTACTATCTTGGTTGGGGATAAAAAATGGCAAATTTAGAGGTTTTTACTTCATTTTCCTACTCTTTCCAATAGTTCTTGCCCCATAGATCAGGATGTAATGTGAAAGTTGTGTGAATTATCAAGAATGTCCATTTCCATTATACCTTTGGAAACTAGGAAATAACCACTGGTTGAGTTTGTGAACCTAGTGGGCCACTATGAGCTAGATATGGACAAACATTCCACTGATTACCTGACCTTTATATGATTCCACTCTAATAACAGTGGCTAAATGACTAACTTAGCATTTTTCCTGGTTCCATGAGTCTTTTAATTCACCTTTCTACATGTTCTACATCTTTTACACCTTCCACGATCCTGTCATTTCTCCTTCCCTTGGCATGGGGGATCTCTGTCTAAGCTTACAAGAGCCATCTTTTTTGTTTGTTTGTTTGTTTGTTTGAGACGGAGTCTCTCTCTGTCGCCCAGGCTGGAGTGCAGTGGCGCGATCTCAGCTCACTGCAAGCTTCGCCTCCCGGATTCATGCCATTCTCCTGCCTCAGCCTCCCGAGTAGCTGGGACTACAGGCGCCCACCACCAGGCCTGGCTAATTTTTTGTATTTTTAGTAGAGACTGGGTTTCACTGTGTTAGCCAGGATGGTCTCGATCTCCTGACCTCGTGATCTGCTCGCCTCGGCCTCCCAAAATGCTGGGATTACAGGTGTGAGCCACCGCGCCCGGCCTATAAGAGCCATCTTAATAGAATAAAAGCACAGTTTTTTTTTTTTTTAAATCTCGCGTCAGAGATTTAAAATCTGGTGTCACAGTAGAGTGTTCTCCTATCAATAAACTTATCCGTATCCAGCTTTCTACCCAGTACCTGCCTTTTTTCCCTTTGATCCTGTGTCATAAAGATATGGTATTATGTTTGCTCTGCTGGTTCCTGCTAGCATGTGTACTCTGGGTCCTGCAGCTTCTTCTGGGCATAATCCATTTTATCCTTCAGGAAGCCCAGGACTTCCATACCTAGGTTATCTTGTTTTATATCTTGATCCCAGGTATATATTTGGCATCTAAGAAATAAGGCAGGCATAGATCCTGAGCAGGCATATATCATCTTACAAGGCAAAAGCCTCTACCTGTTCTCCAAACAGTAGGAGGGGTGGTGAGAGAAAAAAAGTGGGACATTTTTGCATGCCCAGATGCTTCAGGGAAATCTTAGGTTTCTAGAATTTTTAGTGTATTGACCCAGAATCCCCCACTCCACATCTCTGTGTCCTACTCTTTCCTAACTAGGGTATTGAGCTTGGCACAGTGGACTTGCTGGGACTGAGAATTCATCTTTCTTTGCTGTTCTTTTGATTCAGTCCTCATCTTAATCTTTGCTTTTCTGACCTCAGGATGGAAGAGATAAAAACCTTTTTTATAAGTTGCGTAGTAGGTACTCTCATTTTCACACTTAACCTTAAATTGCTAGCATATTAACCTGAACCTTTCCTTGTGGTTTTCTAATGCATCAATGTGACTGAACAGTAGTCATCTGATTTCAGATACATGAGGACCTCAAACAACTCTACAGGAAAAAATATAATAAGCTGATTTAAAAGTGGGCAAAAGATTTGAATAGACATTTGTCAGAAGAAGACATACAAATGACAAAGAGAAATATGAAAAGGTGCTCAACATCATTGATCATCAGAGAAATGCAAATCAAAACCACGATGTGATATCATCTCATCCCAGTTCAAATGGCTTTTAACCCAGACAGGCAATAACAAATGCTGGAGAGGATGTGTAGAAAAGGGAAGCCTTGTATACTGTTGGTGGGAATGTAAATTAGTACAACCACTATGGAGAATAGCTCGGGGGTTCCTCAAAAAACTAGAAATACAGCTACCATATTATCTAGCAATCCTACTGCTGGGAATATACTCAAAAGAAATGAAGTCAGTATATCAAAGAGTTATCCGTGCTCCCATGTTTATTGCAGCACTGTTCACAATAGACAAGATTTGAAAGCAACCTGCATCCATCAACAGATGAATGGATAAATAAAATATGGTATTTATACACAATGGAGTACGATTTAACCATAAAAAGAATGAGATCCTGTCATTTGCAACAACATGGATGGAACTGAAGTTCATTATGGTGTGTGAAATAAGCAGGCACAGAAAGACAAACATCACATGTTCTCATTTATTTCTGGGATCTAAAAATCAAAACAATTGAACTCATGGAGATAGAGAGTAGAATGATGGTTACCAGAGTCTGGGAAGGGTAGTGGGGAAGTGGGGAAAGGTAGATAAGGTTAATGGGTACAAAAAATGATAGAAAGAATGAATAAGACCTAGTATTTGATAGCACAACAGGGTTAAAATAATTGTTAAATAGTTAAAATAATTGTACATTCAAAAATAACTAAAAGAGTATACTTAGATTATTTTTAACAAAAACAGTAAATGCTTGAGGGAACGGATACCCCATTTTCCACGCTGTGATTATTATGCATTACATGCCTTTACCAAACCATCTCATGTACCCAATAAATATAGATACCTACTATGTACTCATAAAAAATTATAATAATGTCATCTGATTCCATTGTCCTTGATATTACAACTTCCCTGAGTCATTGCATGGCTAGGGCATTCCCATCCAAGGTAATTCATTCTAGTTCATCACCAGTAAAAGTTTTTATAATTGCACCAATAGAGCATCCCAGGGTCAATCAGCTTTCCACTTACCACAGCAGATGGTAGAGCTCCAGAATTCTACTTTGGGGTTTGCTTATACTATGATCATTCCGGGCACTAACACCATTAAGTGAGATTCACTAGGAAACATTCAAATGGAAAACTGTGTGTAGAAATTGTATTAGAAAGTAGCCTCTATATTCTACCTTGGGGTTTGCTTATTCTATGATCACTCCAGGCACCAACTCCATTAAGTGAGATTCACTAGAAAACATTCAAATGGAAAACTGTGTGTAGAAAGTGTATTAGAAAGTGGCCTCTATAACACCTATGAAGAAAGGAACAATGCAAGATTGGTCAGAAGGAGAAATTGAAATATAATGAAGTAATGATTAACTAACAATGATGATGAAATGATAATATAATGAAATAGTATTGAGCTATAATGAAGATATTAGCTGTTCCCATGTAGAGTTCAGAAGCTGAGAAGGCCCTTTAGATTTGTCCCACATCAAGGTAGTGTGCCTTTGGCTCCCCACAGTGACATGGTTAATGGGCTGCCTCGTTGGTAGGCATTAGCTTTGATAGGGCAGCTTCTTTTGTCTGAAAACATCTTTCTGGGTGTTTTCAAATCTATGAGCTGTCAGCAGGCAATATTCATCTACGTACCTACTATATGGTTATTTATACCATTAATAGATGAGGCTTAAGAAGCCTTAGGAAATCTAACTTTTCAAATGTTTTGTACCTAGAACATGGTAGCAATGAAATTTAAAAACATATTTTCTCTCCTTAAAGATTAGACCCCTACCTAGACTGGCATTGCCTCCTTTTCTCTCAAATGGTAAGATTTTTCCCCCTCTTATATAGTGAATCTTTTATGGTAAGGTACTGGTTTCCCCCAATATTCTCAAATTCTTGATGTCCTGAACCACTTTTTATGTCTGTATAATACATGCTCCTACTTTAGGAGAGCACCAAGGTAACAATCCAAGCCTTCCAGAAGTTGCAGCAAAAGTTATTTGATCATCATTATTCCTCCAATTAGCTCATGTATCATATTTAATAGTATTGCATACTTGTCTGTACCTACCTTTCTAGAAAGGGTTTCTGCTTTCTCATAGAAGTGTAGGTATGGCCAGGTAAGCAATACCTATTTCATCATTCTGTATGTAACTGGTAAATCAAGTAATGGCTCTTTTAAGTTCTAGTACTTTATTTACCTTGACCATCCTATATCGGTTTAGGACTATAGCTGGGGGTTCAAATCAAAATTCTGACACTATCCATCCATATAGCATTGAGAAAATTCTGTAAAATATCTAATCCCCAGTTCACCTGTTTATGAAATGGAACCTACCTATGTAATGATGTTAATCTAAGAATAAGAGAAGATAATGCATGTGAAATTCCCTCATAACAATAAAGATTATATAAATGAAAAATTTTTACCACAAATACTAAAAGTGCCTCATACTCTATGCAGGGAGGTTTCTGGAATCTTCTTTAATGATTCTTGTCTATCTATACCAATTGCTTACCATTTTGTTGTATATTTATTTTTCACAAGCCTATATTTTATGCCTTCACCTATATGGTAAGTAACTTAAGGGCTGGGCTTTGTCAAGTTTATATTCCCCTGTATTTCTGTCTGGATGCAGTCACAGTGCAGTATTCACGGTAGATACTCAATAAAAATCTTTAGTTCTTTAGAGCTGTCCTACTTACTTTTAGGAACCATGTCTATTTGGGGCTTTTATTAATTTTTGCTAATATGGAAAGTATCATCATTTCTATCTTCTTTCAAATCGTGCTTCATCTGATCTTGTTTTGGTCTGTTAAATGCTCTTAGTCTTTATATTTTTTGTGTGTGGAATTGTCACGTATTTCTTCCTAATGGTTTTCATTTGATTGAACTCTGATCCTCAACGGAACAGAGTAGGGGAGAAGAAAAAATTAAGAAAAGCTTGAGATAAGAGGTTATAAGTCTCAAGTAATATTGACTGAGAAGGAACAGAGAGATTTTTCTTTGCCTTTCAAAATTGACTCAAATTTACTTTTGATGTCATTTTCAGCAGGAAATTGATTAGAAACTCAGCATTCTCGAGAGATCATCTACTTCTTTTCATCCTTTGTGCTTTTCAAAGAAATGCAATAGGTGGGTGGAACTTGCTAAACCTGAAGGGCTTTCTTGAGTGGGAGTATGAGCCTAGTAAAGAAGGTTCTGCATTCCTGAAACTATCTAGTGCCTAAAAGATTGTATCTTTTTGAATGGAGTGTATTTAATCTTGAGACTTAAAAGTGCTGAAAAAGAGCCACTTCCTAAATACACTGCCACAGCATGAGCATGGCCCAACCAAATGTACATGTGATCTAAGGTGAATGAAGTGAAACTTAGGAAAAGATTTACAAGAAAAAAAATTATACTTGAAGCAATACGTCTAGGTCAGCTGAAATGGCATTTGGGTTTGCACCAGATGGTCTCTAAAATGGACAGCAGTTCTCATTCTTTTCCCTACCACTCTCATTTTCCCAAAATATACTTTTATTTATGGAAAATTTAGGAGGAAGCATAACACAGTAACTCAAAGGAGACAAGCATTCCTAAGCAAGACAACACTAATAACTACACTCGAGCATCATTCTTCCCAGAAACTGAAGTCACTTCCTTCGGATGTTTGTCGCCATTGTCATTGAAAATTTGTTCTAAGACATTCATGCAGCCAAAAAACACATGAAAAAATGCTTTTCATCACTGGCCATCAGAGAAATGCCAATCAAAACCACAATGAGATACCATCTCACACCAGTTAGAATGGCAATCATTAAAAAGTCAGGAAACAACAGGTGCTGGAGAGGATGTGGAGAAATAGGAACACTTTTACACTGTTGGTGGGACTGTAAACTAGTTCAAGCATTGTGGAAGTCAGTGTGGCGATTCCTCAGGGATCTAGAACTAGAAATACCATTAGACCCAGCCATCCCATTACTGGGTATATACCCAAAGGACTATAAATCATGCTGCTATAAAGACACATGCACACGTATGTTTATTGCGGCATTATTCACAATAGCAAAGACTTGGAACCAACCCAAATGTCCAACAATGATAGACTGGATTAAGAAAATGTGGCACATATACACCATGGAATACTATGCAGCCATAAAAAATAATGAGTTCATGTCCTTTGTAGGGACATGGATGAAATTGGAAATCATCATTCTCAGTAAAATATCACAAGAACAAAAAACCAAACACCGCATGTTCTCACTCATAGGTGGGAATTGAACAATGAGAACACATGGACACAGGAAGGGGAACATCACACTCTGGGGACTGTTGTGGGGTTTGGGGATGGGGGAGGGATATCATTGGGAGATATACCTAATGCTAGATGACGAGTTACCGGGTGCAGCGCACAAGCATGGCACATGTATACATATGTAACTAAGCTGCACATTGTGCACATGTACCCTAAAACTTAAAGTATAATAAATAAATAAATAAATAAATAAATAAATAAATAAATAAATGTTAAAAAAAAAAAGAAAATTTGTTTTATGACCTCGGAGCAACACATCCAGAACAGAATCAGACAATATAGATATACTTATGTAGTTAAAAATAAATGATTCAAATTTGCCTCTTTTTAAAATAGAGATTGTGACATTCAGTTATCCTTTTACCTAGCTGTTGCCAAACAGATTGAAGCAAATATTGATGAAGAACCTAAACGTAGATTGATGTAGTAAAAATGGCACTTGTGTCTGCTAGTCAGGTGACCTCATTCTAGTCCTAGACTGGCATTAATTAGTATGGTATATATTCTAGTATCAACTTTAGCTTAGACACTTCCCTTCCCTCCCATACATAAAATAATAGAGTTTATAAAATAATGAGTGGGAACTAGAGGTCTTTATGAGACCTTTAAAATTTCTCTGGGTAGTGAACTCCTTTGAGAATATGATGAATTTTCTAAAACTATATGAGTGAACAAAATTTTGCTTTTAAATATAAGAGCTGATGTGCCTGTGCCCTGAAAAAAAGTGAAACAGAGAATGCCTCCCTTGAGCCCAATCTAGTTAAGAATACAAAACATGTACAATTGAAATGACTTGAGAAGTATGTAAAGCTGCAGTCAGGCAATGTAAATGTATAAAGAAACAATGGCAAAGAAGACAGTGCATCTCTATTATTCTAAAGCACTGACATATATATATATATATATATACACATACACACACACACTCATATATAATGAATACATGTGTATAATTATGAGTGTGTATATATGTGTGTATATATATATATACACAAGTACATATGTTATACACATAAATACACATAATGTGCATTTATATACTTACACTGTGCAGAAAAAAATTATGTGAGTTGTGTGATTTAGCCGTTAGGCTACCACTCTATAATCTTTGAAAAAGAACCTAGGTATGAGGTAATTAATGCTCGTTGAGACAGGGCCTGACTAATACTCACTGGAGTTAGAAAGTAGGTTGAGAAACAACATTATGGTGCAGAGGTAACAAAACCAGGTTTTCTGAGCCTTTATTAGAACATGTCATTGCAGTTGAGATTTGCCCATATTTTATTGTGTATTCTCAAATATTACTTCAAAGGGCATTGATATTAATATATATGATTTCTAAAAGTGCTTTAATTTTTGAAGGAGTGGCCAGCTTTTCCAAATATGTCCTGTGGGGAACATACCTGCTTTCCAGTACGTGTGAACCTGCTGCTTCCGTTGTGGTGGCTGGCATCTGTGCCTCTTATTCTCTTTGTCACTGTAGTTCAATAATGCTTTGGCTCCACAATGGGACTTTTAATGCGTTTTATGGATTCTGTTGGGTTTGACAAACAGAGAGAGAAAGATAGGTTTTCAACAACAACAACAAAAAAAACCTGCAAAGGAAGCTCCAATCACTCCAAGTGGCAGCAGATAGTCATTAAGTATGGCAAGAAATGCATTTTTATATTATATTTAGGAAATTTGTGAATGCTGATGAGGATCTTCTATGTTTTATCTCCTGGGCAATGTCATTGCATTACCACGAATGTCACATCTCTCTCTCTCTCTCTCTCTCTATATATATATATATATATATATATAAAATATTCTTTATATATACATATATACATATAATCTTCTATATCTTCTTTTCTCTCTTGTTAGAATAGCGGGTTTATAGATTCTTTATTCTGACTGGAATCATTTAGAGAATGATCTGTGGTTTGCAATGAGTGTTAATCTCTGCCTACTTGGTCCAAGGTTATCTTGAATATAATGCACTGGTTAATAGTTAGCACTGGAATAAGATGATGGATTTTCATACACCTCTGCCACTCTTTATCCAGGTACATCATCATGGGAAGTTGAGTTTTCTCATCTATAATTCTTTAAATCTGAGCTTCCTCATCTACAAAACAGACATAATAATAGTAGCTCCCTTAATAGGTTTTTGGGACAATCAAATATGATAATCAAATAAAAGTGCTTAACATAGTACATGGCATATTGTAAGATCTAAATAATGTTATCCATTTTTATTATGTAGGTTTAGTTCATCTTATTTTGGAATTGGCTTTAACTTCAACTGTTATGCTATATATATCAGCATGTAAAAGCACGCAGAACCTTCTTAGAGTAGCAATTCTAAGTCTGTGCTCTGTTACTGTGTGTCAATAGTATTGCCTTTCTATATGAGATACCTATGTATCAATATAAACTAATAAGTAGAGGCCCAGAGTCAAAAGTCTAACTTTGACAAATGTTGGTCTTCATCAAGTGTAAAATGGAATTTTATTTGCTCTTGGCTACAAAAAACCCTAAGCATCACAGAAACATTCACATAACCAGAAGAAATACATACATGTGTGCACATAGAAATATACACGTGAGTGCATGCAAACATACACATACCCACACATATATACACAAAAGCATGCCTACACATTTCAGGTATAGCATGGTAGAGAAAAATAAATGATGGCTCTCCATTTCTTCACTTAGTATTGAGTCTCCTTCAGTCCTTCCTTGTGAATGTACTTTCTCATTGTCTTTCCTCCCTTCTCTTCCATGTCCCCCACCCCTCACCCCAGCCATGACCTTGATACAGGCTTCAATATTATTTAAAAAAATTAACTTGGGATAGTGAAATAGTTATTCTGGGTAGCAGGTTAGTTTTGTGGAATTTTTTTTTTTTTTTGAGACGGAGTCTCGAAGTGTCACCCAGGCTGGAGTGTAGTGGTGTGATCTCGGCTCACTGCAACCTCTGCCTCCTGGGTTCAAGTGATTCTTCTGCCTCAGCCTCCCGAGTAGCTGGGACTACAGGCGCATGCTGCCTCCCCTGAGTAACTTTTTGTGTTTTAGTAGAGACGGGGTTTCACCATGTTGGCAAGGCTAGTCGTGAACTCCTGAGCTCAGGCAATCCGCCCACCTTGGACTCCCAAAGTGTTTAGGCGTGGGCCACTGTGCCGGCCAGAACTTTTATATAATTGCTTTTTGTGACTTTTCATTTTTATTATTGAGTAGGTTGTTTCTTTTAATTTCTTTCCATTATTTTCTTCACCCCACCTAGTTTTGTGCAGTATGGCAAAAAGAAGACCATGAATTTTCCCAGAAGAAAGTAGCTTTTGGTTTTCTAATCAAACAAGTTGACGTGTGATGGAGTTCAATTTCACTGTTAGTAAGAGATGCCCAACCTACTTAGAAATTAATATCAGGATGAGATCTCTGCCAGTGGAGGATAGAGTGACTGTATTTAGTTTGAGCACCTGGAAGCCTCCATTTTTCAAGAGCACGTAATACAAGGACACGAATATATCTGTGTTATCTACGTTTAACAACTCATAAAGGCTGAAGAAACATAAAAGCATAAAACCTGATTGCTGAAAGTGGCTTAAGAAATGGTAATCTGTAAGGTTTTACCCGGGTTTCACTCATGGGCTCTGTCTGCTAGTAAGTGGTCTACATTAATTGTGTGTATGTGTATGTGGGATGGGGTGAAAGGGAGATGTACCATGCAGACTCATAGTGAAGTTGTTCAGAAAAATGTCTATTCGAGGTTAGCTGTTTGTTTGCTTGTTGGTTGATTTGCTTGTTTTCGTTGTCCTCAATTGGATAAAGGCTATATGCTGTGAGCATCTCTTTTTTGATAGATTTTTATTATTTCTTTAAGTATTTTATCTGAATGTTATTTTAATTTTCACAATGCATGCTTCAATTTTACTTATATCATCCAGAGCTATGCTTTAGGCACATGCTATGCAGTGAATCTCCTCTATATCTAGTTCGTTCATAAAAAAACACATTTTAGGTAAAAGAAGGACTTAGAGGAAGCCTATATTTTGGAAATTAAGTTCCACATGTAAATGGATTATCTGCACTGATTCCTTATTATACTCTGCAACTTACAAAAAGTTAAAGACTACTGGCCTAATTCATGTGGGATTTTTGACACTAGTACTGCCCCTGTTACACCCCTACCCCTGGTTTTTAGCAGGATATCTTATGATACTCTAAAGAGAATATAGTTTGGAATTTGATGTCTGGGAAAAAAATCTTCCCATGAGTGAAAATTAAGTACAATCATAGATTTGAATTAGAAGTCAAACTACACAATTGCAAAGAATAAAGGGTTAATAGAAAAAGGTGCCCAATAGTTGACTAAATCATATGAAAAATCATTGATAGATATTATTTTGAAGAAAACTTCTCCCATCATAACTGAAGCCAACCTCTCTGTATATCCTCAGGAAGGGTCAGCCTCGACAAGATTGAGAAGTCCATGAGGAAAGATATATTATCTCTTTTTGTTTTGTTCTTCTCTGTTTTATTTTAACTTTCTCTCTTTCTCCCCAAGGCATAGAATACAATAAGATCTAAATAAATACATTTCAACATCACTGCAATAATACTAATTTCTTAGTTATTAGAGATTTCAACCTCCAAATGAACAATTCTTTCAAAGTCTTAGCCTCTCATTTTCTTGACCTCTTCTCGTCCAGCATTCTTGCATTTTCCTCAGTTCAAACACTCATTCCATTGTTATTTCCAATGACTGCTCATCTGCAATATCCCAATGTCAAGTATTCCACTGAATCTCATCTGAATCTTTCTAATACATTGTTCTAATATTATAACTTCATTATGTGTTTTTACTTGTTGGAGTCTGCACTCTATTGTTCATCTGATGTTTGAACTGTTTCTCCTCCAAGTTCACATCCCTTCATGCATAGCTGTAGATTCTATCCTTCCTCTAAACCATTGACTATCATACTCTCACTTCCTTTCCCTCTTCTTCCTTTGAGCACTTAGCTGACAAAACCCCAACTCTGGTTATATCAAATTCTCTGCTTGCTTTGTTTACACATTTGCTCAGATGTATGTGAGTGGAGAAAAACAACACGGCTGACTGATCTCACTTTAAATTAGTGGCCACCAACACTAAGTGCATTTTTAGTGCTGCTTAACAATCCTACTACATGCTCTATTTCACCCACTCTTCCACTTTCTCAATGACCACTTCCCACCTTTGACTCTCTGCTCAATCCCACCTCTATCTTCATTTTCTGCTGATGATCGTGTTCACTCTCTCACTAGAAAATAAACACAATTACGTGAAAATGGCTGTGTATTCCCACGGTCTAATTGTTTACTATATTTGCGCCTGCATTCTAATTCTGTGCTGTCCTTCTTTTTACCATAGAGGAACTATCATTTCTGGCCTCTTAAAGAATATGCTTTCAGCAATTCTCCACTCTATCCTACATTATCAACATCTCCTGATAATTTCATAAAGTATATCATTTCTCTAGTAATATAAATATGCTTTATATTTCCAATATGGAAAATAATAAAACAAATACAATAAAAGCCTTATTGAACTTCACATATCTCTCCAACTACTGCCTTTCTTCTTTCCTCCTTTTTAAAGCAAACCTCATTAAAACAGCTTGTTACATTTGCTTTTTCTATTTTTCTCGTCTCTTTTACAACCACTTCAATCAGACTGTATCTCTACCACTCCAATGAAACATCGCTTGTCAAGATCGCCAATGGTCTCTACTTGGCTAAATGCAATGGCTCATTTTTAATTGTATTACTTGCCCATCAGCAGTATTTGACACAGTTGATTATTCTCTCCTTGAACTTGTGTGTGTGTGTGTGTGTGTGTGTGTGTGTGTGTGTTTGTTTTCTTGTTGCTGTTTGCTTCTGGGACATTCTTTGCTCCTGTTTTTCCTCTTAGTTATATTTGGCCAATAACACCACACTCTTCCTTGTCCCAAGGTGATAATACCATAGGGTGTATACAGGCTGTAGACTCTCATTTTATTCTGCCCTAGCCTTCTCCCCTGAACTCTAGATACAGAAATATAACCAATAACTTAGCATTTCTACTGGAGTGTCTAATAACAGTGAGACTAACAATATTTTCTACAAAATCAATAATTGTTTGCATTTAGTGCTTACTGTGTCCTAGGCAATTTATATGTGTGCGTGTGTGTGTATGTATTTTATATGTATCTGTGTAAATATATGTATCTGTGTAAATATATGTATATATATTCACTCTATGTATTCACTTTGTGTATATATATTTATTGTATCTTTCAACAACTCTATGAGATAATATTCTATCAGCAGTTACTGTAAGTATCAATATATCAACATGGTTTATAACAACCAACATTTATTTCCTGCTCATGTTAAATGTTGATAGTTGTAGGTTAGCTATGTCCGTAATATGGGAAAACACTGTAAGTCACTTGGAAAGGATAGTGTATCACATTTCTATTGTTGCCATAATAAATTACCACAAACTTAATTACTTAAGCAATACAAATTTACTATTAACAATGTTGAGTTTTACCTGAACCCTGTACTCCTGGAACACAGTGAAGGCTAATCAAGGCTAATCCCTCCTTCTTCTTTGGTGCCTTTGCCTCTTTGGTTTACTGCAAAGAGCCACCCTTTTCATAGACTAAGACTTAGGAATGCCATTATTGTTTATCTATGACAAGGCCAGACATACACCCTCCGAATTTCCATTCTTTACCTCAATGATTAGGTGAACTGTTCCCACTAATAAATTAGAACTTTTAAGGACTCTTTTGACTAAAATGGGTCTACTTAGATAATCCAGGACAATCTCCCTGTTTTAAAGTCAGATCATTAGCAACATTAATTCCATCTACAACTTTCATGTTCCTTTTGCCATATAATGCCATATATATTCACAGGTTCTGGGAATTAAAAGATGGACAACTTTGAGGACCATTATTTTGCTACTATAAGTGATATAGATGATAGTATCCACTCCCTTGCCATACTCTTTATGAGAATATATTTCCACGTTCCATTATCAGCCTGGGCATGTGACTTGCTTGGCAAATGAAATGTGAGAAAATATACGAGGCAGAAAAGAAGAGAACAAAATAGAGAAACAGTGTGACCCGCAGCCACTGAAAACTAATGTAAGAAGGAAATAAATGCTGCTCCACTGAGATTTTGGGAATGTTTATAGAAAACATTGATGAATACAGGTCCAGGAAGGGAGTGACTTTTGAGTAATAATAATGCAATCTGAAAGTCTCTCTTTTTAACTACAAATATACCATTGTCAACACAAAATATCTAAAACCCCTCTTATCCAGCTTCCAAGATGACTCTCAATAATTCTCACTTCATGCTATTCATTCACTCATGTAGTACTGCCCAGCACAAATAAATAGGCTGATCTGTATAACCAATTAATAAGTTGCAGTAATGATGATGTGTGACTTCTGACCCTGGGTCATAAAAATCATTACAGATTTTTCCTTTTGTGGAACTTGCTCTAGAGGAAGCCATCTGTCATGCCATAAAGATACTCAAGAACCTCAGTGTGAAGTCCATGTGTGAGAATGAAGGCCTCCTGCCAACAGTCAATACCAATTTACTAGTCATGCAATTTCAACATCTTGGAAGTGGATTCTCCAGCTACAGCCAAGTGTTGAGAAGAAGGCAGCATTTTCAATTCAAAAAGTTTACTTTTTATATCCTATTACACCACAGTGAATGGACCCAAATCAATGGAAGACAGGTTGGGCAGCACAATAAATGCATGGTGAAAATAGCAAGGAATGCACCTCGACTTGAAGGCAGCCTGCTGAGCCATTATGCACAGCATCCCACTCATTCTGAAGATCATCGATCTTAAACCAGCCCATGCTAGAGATCTGCAGGTGATGATGACGGAAAACTCCAGGCTCAATAGTGACTTCAGGGATGAGGAGCTTGCAAGCCTTTGAGTAAAGGAACTTCTGGGTGTGAAGGATTATGTGTCCTATAATGGATATGACTTAGAACATGAAACAACAGAATATTCAACACACTTGAAGAAAAACCCCCAAGAGCTTTCCGTATAAAAAAAAAATTAACAGGGAAAGAGTGATCTTAAAAGGGATAAGAGTGAAACCAACTTGTTAGTTTCTCCCAGAATCAATGTTCACTATGATTTAGCATTTTTTAAAAGTTTAAAGTATATATTAAATATACTGAATAAATGAATACATGAGGGTCTTCACTTTCTGTTTGTCATGCATTAAACATTTTTCTTGAATATAAAAAAGGAAAGGAAGGGAGGAAATGAATCCTAGCGAGAAAAAGGAAGGAAAACGGTGAAAATTTCATTCTACTAAATTAGCTATCGCCCTCTTCCTCTTAATCTATCAAAGAGAACAGCTTCTATATCTGTTTAGCTTCAGCACAGAGCTCTCCTTGCTCTTCCTCAGTGGAGCTTGCATCTTCAGATCAGCAATTCATCCTATTAAGTAATATTTCCATTAAATATTTCATCAGAAAGTTGGTTGCTTTTCTCATTTGTCTTGTCCATATTCAATTACAGTGGTTATTATTATTTTATGTGAAGATGCTTGTAACTTTTCAATCTGCCTTGAATTTTTCCTCCTGTAAAGCTAAAATATTTTATGGGATTTCCATAGACACTACTGACAGTAGGGATTGAAATTCTGTCCCTTTATTCTCTTTCCCATTTTTGAGGTCTGGATCATTTTCACCTATATCGACAGGAGTTGTTAGAAAAGGAGGTGCCAGAGATGGCTGGTGATAATGTTTTTATTCCTATTTGCCAATCTGACATGAAATGAAGCATTCAAAAACTGAATTAAATTGTCAAACTTCCCACATACACATTGACCAGCTGAAATATTAAAAATTTATTGTTTATTAGGAAAACAATCTGTAGAAAACAGAGTAAATTAAAAACACATCGACCTTAGTGTATTACTTGAGTTTTCCTCATGAGTTTATAAAAATACTACTCATAATAAATACTGTGGAAAATCTAATAAATCTTAGTAAATTATATAGTCAAATGCCTATTTTTTCATGTGAAAAAGGTGAAGTAATTTTTGTCCAATATGACACAATTAGATCAAGAGTATAAATTATTTATATAACTGGTTTTCCTTATATGTATTCTTTCATTCTATAATGCTTTTAAAAAGATGATCAATTCAACTTTTCACATACATTTTTCTTCATAAGCATATTTCTTTTGATCTTGTTACTGGATCTTACTTGTTACATATGTTGACAAGGTTTGTTTTTTGGTGTTCTTGTTGTAGATGTCCCTCCATTTTAACTGCATAATTTCCTCTCATCTCATTAAATATTAGTGAGCACTATTTATAGACAAGGCACTAAGCATTATCACTTCCATGGTGAGCAAATGAAAGGGAACTCTAAAGAAGCAAATTTTCACAATGTGTCATAACAATGATGGTTTATGGTTTTTTTTATAAATTAGCATAGATTATTTTTTAATATCCTCAACAAGTTTGGAGCTTACAAATTGATATAGAAAGTCATGGCCACATCTATGAACATTGGGTATCTGTAACTGTGGTATCATGAGGAATGTCTCTTATAGTACCTAGTGTAAACCCTTGAGTACTGATATAGCCTGTAAGCCATAGAAAAGGTTTTGACTTTCTTAAGAAGCATTTTTTCCTCTCCTGTAGGGGTGCCTTGACCACTGAACTTAAGGTGCATCTTTCAGACAAAGTAGGGTGACATTGGGGAACCACATTCACTCTTATCCTTAACTTATGTATTTCCTTTGCACTGTTTTTTACTTTGCAGTAAACTAAAGTCAAAGCACAATTGAACTGATTCCAAATTATCATTCTTATTGACTTTGAAATATAGATTAGATTTCATGATCTAGCCAACACATCAGAATCTTTACTTTTTCTTTCACAATGTGTAGAAAATGGAATCAATTTTTATTCTAGCATATGAATTCTTCTCACATTCAATGATATTTCACATGGAATATTGTTTTTTTTTCAATGTGAGGCATTGCAAGTTTAGATACCTAAGAGGTTAGGGTGCTGCACGTATTCAGCATACAAATGACCGGAGTCAGAATTGTAAGGAAGGCTGAGGCAGCTACCAGTGTCTTACAACCATAAGAAAGAACAGGAGTGAGAGGGAGATCAGTATATAGCAATCTCAAAGAGGAATAAAGGAAGGCCTAGCAAACATCCCTAGAGAAATACATAAAATATAATACCCTCAAACATAAGTCTAGTGAGCATTCAACCTCAAGGCTTGCTTCAGTGTCATCCCAAGGCCTAGAAAATGCTTTGGAGAGGCACACCAATCTGGAGGCCAATACACGTTGGCATTTTTATGTTTTGGTTACTAATGAAATCTGTCCAGGCTAATAGGAAAGGCCAAAACAAACACTCCAGACAGCTTTTTAAAATCAAGATTAGTTGTCCTGCTAAATACAGAGGAAAAAATAAATTAGAGCTTATTTCCCCTGAATTGTTAAGCTTCTAAAAAGAAATGGATGGGGACAGAAATAACTCAGCAGGGGTTGTTTATTTTTATAATGCTCGTGAGAAAAACAAAATGGAAGGGAGAACACAGAGAGTGGATGTAAGCAATAGGACTTTGAATTTCTATCAGGGTCTATGTTTTATAACTATTTATTTACAGGCAGCCTGGGTGGGATCATAGCAGAATACAGCCTCAGATGGAATATAAATTACAACAAGATTTAATTTCTTCCTTCCTCAAGAGTGTGAAGTTTTGTTTTGGAAAATTAGAAATTGCAGGATTCCCATTAACTAGACCTGCAGCTACTATTGGTTTACATTCTAAAAAGTTTCTTTCTACAAACATTTGGAAACTATAGTATTTACTCTGTGCCAGGCACTGTGCTAGGTACACACCTTTAGTACTTCACTAAACAGAGGTGAATAAACACATTGTTTGGAGAATATTCCCTATTTCACATTGTGTCTTCTGGCACAATATTCAGAAAGTTGCTATAACAAACATTTTCTGAAATGGAAGTAGCCTTTCTTATGTCAGGCTCTATGTTGGGCACATTTGATTTGTAACATTAACTAATGACAAAACTCCTATTTGGGTACCATTGTCTTGTTTCATACATGAGGAAAAAGAATCTGAAAGAGGTTAGCACCGAAAGTGGTCACACTGATAGGTTAAAAAAGTTTATACTGAGATCCATATCTATCTGGCTCCAAAGTCTGTGACCTTTTCTACCACATCATATTGTCTTTGATTAAATTGTGGATATAGTCTATAGAGAGAAAAGAACTTTTTTCCTTCTGAAAAATGAGCCTTAGCTTGGTGCAACTGACAAATAAACAGTTATCACATAATCTCAGTGGATTTCAATTTCCCAGAAAAAGAGCACACGAACCCATCTTATTACTAATCCAGAGAGTTAGAAGATGATTCTGGGTGTGTGTACATGGAAGTAATAGCAGCATGCAGACCTTTAAAGCATGATAACTTAAAAGAGTCAACAAATAATGGTTGAGATCAGTTCTCTGTGGAAGTAGCCTCCACTCCACTCCACTAAGCAATAAATGTATTGCTGGGCTTAGACACCAAACATATGCCAGTTAGATGACAGCACTTATGAGAATTTGAATGTATACCATTAACAAATCTAAAACCACACTACAGACAATTAGTATGACTTACTATGAAAAAGAAAAAATGTATCTAGAAAGCTGAACACAACAGCAAAAATGTTTTGAAAGATAATAGGGCTGTTTGTAATATTCTAATTCTCATTTTTAAAGGTGTGAAATATGTTTGAAATGTCCTGTGCTCTGAAGTCAGGCATGATCATCTTTCTTTCTTTAGCCAATGGAATATGAGAGGAAGCTTTGTCTTTCATTTCCAAGGCCAAGCAGTTAAGAGTTAGTGCACAATTTGCCTTCCCTCCTTTTCCCTGGAGCAATAACTGGTGAGATTCCTGATGTGAAGGCTCTCATCAGGCTGAAACCCTGAGCCAGCACAGGTACTAGCTCAACACGGACATGTGGTATGTGTGAGAAATAAACCTGTGTGGCTTTAAGCTACTAAAAATTGAAGATGTTTTGGACCACAGTGTAAATAGCTCATCCTGAAAAATGAACAAATGAATAAAAACAGCTCAGTCTGACACTATGTAGAACAGAGAGTCCCCTGAGTGAGGCCATTTCAGATCCAACTTAGGAATAGAAAAAAAAAACATCAGTAATCATCTTGGTGCCATGAGCCATTGATACTGCCTAATTAACTTCTCTTTTTCTGATCACAAAAATACCTTCCAATTAGACCCTTTCTTAGCATGCAGCCTATAGAAAAATGGTACACTAATAGGCTGATAGGAAACATTTGTTCTGCCTGCCAATTATAAACCTTTATCTTTATTGTTAAACTGATTTCTTGGAATTCTAAATTATTTATCAGATATCTATTAATTTAGTTAATGTAGTTTAGTTGAGAGACTGACCACATGAGTGTAGGTCCATTGAATAAAATGGGTAGGGAGACCACACAACCGCTAGAAAGAGAGAGAGATTGATTGCCTAGTAGTTTCTAACAAGATCCTTGTTCTAAATTCTGCTCTCATGAGATGACCAAACACCTTCTAGTCCTTCTGAATTTGATGAAGCAAAATATGTTCATGAAGCTATGTATATACTTCTAATCAATTCTCTTCAGATATTTATTTCTGGCCAAAAAGACAGGTGGGGGAAAGCAAAAGCAGGAAGCAGGCTGTTTCTGCTTTCCTATTGGATTTCCAGATTGCTTCATGTGCTTGGATATTTTGTTGAACAAATAACCTCCTCCATCAAATTGACAGGTCTTTTTGGTTAACTTGTCTCCATAATAAACGTTCCATCACCTACATCTATTTTTATTAAATAAGGTGTGGTGAGGAAGGAGAAATGGTTTTATACAGTCAGTGGGCACTTCTGTTTCCAGCAGCTATTGTATTTTT
Organism: Homo sapiens; assembly: GCF_000001405.40. Lineage (NCBI taxonomy): Eukaryota > Metazoa > Chordata > Mammalia > Primates > Hominidae > Homo > Homo sapiens. The sequence goes on from NC_000011.10 coordinate 41,900,711, forward strand.
AATTCATATTTTTGTATCAGGTTAGAATAATATGTATTTGATGATTAATGTCAGGCTTGTAATAAGATTATTTTCTATTGTCATCAAATCTTTTTGGAATTCTGGGACAGGTTATACCAGTTGAGAGTCACAAGTATTTGACGGCACCTGATTTATAAATTATTCTGTTCCTTCAGCTTGATCGATTTCTGGACATAAATAACAAAGAAAATGCCAGAATAATAATTCATCCATTCTTTTTGGTCATAACTTGTGTTTCAGAAACATTGTTTATTTTGCTTGGGTTCTGACTGGACTTATAATTTATCTGGCCCCCTGCGTGAAATGCTATTTGCTTTCCCTCTTCCGGGTTATCATCCCAAGAAAGGGACAGTAAGAATCATATATTTATGTGACTAAAACCAAAACTCTATACACTACGATCACCAATTCTGAACTGCATTTGCTAGAAGGAAGCCAGCAGACAATCTTGAAAAACGAAATAGCATTAGTTAAACCCATTTTTCTCTTGAATTAATTTGAAAATTCTCAGCCTGCTATTCAAGACCTTTCATTTGTTCATTGATTGCTTCCCTCCCTCCCTCCCTTCCATTGCTGCTTCCTTCCTAGCTCATTCCCTCCTTCCCTCTCCCTCTCTTTCTTTCTCTTTCTTTCTTTCTTTCTTAAACATGTATTAGTGTCTAGAAAACACTTCTTAAGCTCAACTGTACTATTTATTTTACTCTCTAATCATATTTCATTCTTTTCAGACTCTGTGCCCTTGCTCACATTATTTTTTCTACCCATAATATGCTCTTTATTTCATTTTCTGTGAAAATCCTAAGCTGCTCCTATTCTGAAGCCATTTGATATATTTATTCTTCCACTAAGTCTTTAACAAACAATTCTATGTGCACCTCTTTGCTTGTACCTCTCTCCTATGGCATTTAAAACTGTCTTCATTATTTTAGAATTTTTGTATGCTCACCTTTTTATCCTTACCTGAATGCCTTGTATAAAATGTACATTAAAAATAAACTAAAACTAAAAAATAATAAGGAAGAATTACTACAGGAAAGTCATGGCAATAGGAGGCAAACATACTAGGGTTTGAGACTTATCATCTGTAATTTACTGGCTTTAAATTCTGAAGACTCCTTTGCATCTCAATTTCCTTTTTTATAAATATACAGCTTTTCTTTTTATATTTTTTCATTGGAACATATTCAACTTCCAAATTTCTGACTGTAATACATATCTTCTGTTAAATGATTTAACATAAAATAAGTCAGATTGAGCTAGGAGGTAGGACTTTATGTTGGAGCAGATTGAAGTTTGATACAAGGAAGAGGTGAAAGCACCTCTCCCTAAGACACGCCCACCAGTGCCATGTCAGTTTACCATTGCCACGGCAATGTCCACAAGTTATCATCTCTTTCCATGGCAATGGCCCAGAAGTTACCACCCTTTTTCTAGAAAATTCTGAATAACTGTTCTTTAATTTGCATGTAATTAGAAATAGGTATAAATATGACTGCAGAACTGCCCCTGAGCTGCTACTCTCAAAACACGGCCTATGAGGTTGCTCTACTCTGCAGGAGTTGTGCCACCTCAAGAAAGCTGTTTTCTTCTACCTTCGACTCACTCTTGAATTCTTTCCTGAGTGGAGCCAAGAATCTCCTGGATAAACCTCATTGTGGGGCTTACCTGCTCTGCATCAAGTGGCACCTAATGTGGGGGCAGAAGAGATAACACAACAGTGTGAGAGACAGTGAGAGAGGTGGTGGTTGGCAGATGGCAAGGCAACAGCAAGAGACAACCACGGATGTGCAGAGCAGCAACAAGTGGAGAGAAAATGAAGCAGTCAGTGATTGAGGCTGCAAGAGCTGCATCACTGAGGCTGTAACACCAAAGAATTGTTAACACTGCAAGTGCTAAGAGTAGACAAAGGGTCTCAGAGTCATCATCTTTCCTAGCAGGCAGTGGAGTTGGGTGAATGGACAAGCAGCCATAGTGATGCTGCCTTGTGTGGGACCTGATGCTCTGACCAGCAGGCTGGTGGGTTGCCAGACCTCATGCTGGCCTCTCCCACCACAGCACCTGAGCCCACCCATGTTGGGAGAACCTGAAGACACTTTCACCTGAGTCCCATGTGGAAGACCAGTCAGTGCCATTTTGTCTTTTGTGGATGTGTGTGGGTTCCCTCTTCTTCCCCCTCCCCTGATAATATTGGATGAGCTAGGGAATGAAAGCCTTCGTCTAAGTGGTCAGTTAAAAGTTCCCCATTGTTTGAGTTCCCCAAAACACGTCCTTGTCATCCCTTTCCATGATCCTTTTAATCACTTTTATTGCTCTGCCAGCCATCTTTTTTAGTTCTAAAATATATTTTTTGTTGGCAGTTTCGTTGCTTTGACTTTCTGTTAACTATATTTGGGCAATTGTATAAGGCAGGACACTTGATTGTGAGAGGTCCCCCATTGTGTTGATTCTGCATTGGTTGGCTCCCAGATACTCTAGGGTTTGCAGCTTTTGATGTGGGGACCCTCATTGGCTGATACTCGGGTAGTCTGGGTTTTTGGCATTTGGTATTTTTGGCCACCCCTTGTCACCAGATGCTCTGGGGTTTTCAGCCCTGACATTCCCTCTAGGATTGTGGAGTAGAGGCCCAGCCTAGGGTTATCTTGGTCTTGCCTTTTCTTGTTTTCTGCCCTGAAATTATCATTTTCTATAATAATATTTTTATTTCTTATTGTAACTTTATATATAATTTTCCTTCTACACTTTACTTAATAAAAAATACTTCTTTGGTAGTATTTCATTCACTGGTAAACACTTATATTCCATTCTCATGATGCGTTGTTAACTACACTTACACCTTCTGTTCAGGAAGTGAGAATTTAAAAGGGAAAAGTAGCAAAGGCCCACTTGCTTTCCCTCTCAGTAGATTTACAAAAACTTCTGCGTCCAGTAGAAATTCTTGTCAGAAACGGAGATAATGACAAGCATTCCAGTAGACTCTCCACTAGGGTGTCTTTTAGGCTATTGGAGCAAATTCAAATTCAATTTAAAGAAAAAGAAACTCATTTTCTACTGCAACACCTCTTGAGTTCAATACAAATTTTAAAATGAGCATATCTGACTTAGCCATGTTTCTTTACATTATAATGCTATTTTACAATGAGGCATTGTTTTCTGTAAAAAAGAAGGAAAATGGGAAAAGATCTATGTTCAGACTTTTGTGGCCCTTTACTGGATCATCTTACTTCCAGGCACAAGAAAGCCATGCCTAAGAAATCCTCTCATAGTTGCTCCTCCTGGAAGGCCTATGACCTCCTCAGAGTCTCCTCATTCCTCCAATTCCAAGGGGAGTGTCCCACTACTTCTCTAAAGAAGGATTCCATTCCAAAGTCATCAGGTAACCCTGCACCTTATTTAACAAGCCCCAGCCTATACCCCCCACTGTCCAATAAATTAAATTCAACCAGTACCTGCAGGAGTGAGGCCTCATATCAGCCCTTAAAATAAAACCTGTGTTCATTGTAGGGAGGTAGTTGGTGAAAATGAAGTAATACTCAGGTTACATGTTCCATTTTATATACATGATTTAGTTTTATACAAGGGAAATTTTGCCAGCTTTCAGAGGATCTGGAAAAGCTTACAGAGAAGTTTAAGTTCACTACTTTCTTTAATTTGTCATAACTAGCAAGTATTGTCATCAGCTTGCTATGCTATGGAAAAAAACAAAGCAGAAGAAAAAGTGAGCAATTATGCCAATCAATTATGACAAGGTTAGAGAAATAATTCACATAAACAACAAAACTCTCACTCCATTTCAGGGTTGCTTGATTAAGACACTCAGGAAATATGCTAATACAGATCTGGACCCCTTGGAAGGGCAAGCTCTCCTGGGTATACATTTTATTACTCAATCTGCCCCTGACATCAGGAGGAAGCTATGAAAACAGCAGTAGAACCTCAAACTCTCATGAGCCAACTCTTAAACATGGCCTTTGGGGTTCACAACTACAGGGACAAGGCAGAAGAAGAGGCAAAAAAAAAAAAAAGAAAAAAAAAGAAATAGCCAAAAAAGTACAATTATTAACAATTTATTTAGTTCCTCACCACCTCAAAATTACCCATCCTGAGAAAGTGTTGTGAGATCAACATCTAGAATGTCCAGACAAGAGCCCCAGTTTGCCAGACCATGGGCCAGAATTAGGGCCACTGGCAATGAGAACATCTAAGCCATCCCTGGTGAAAGAGGAAAAGCTTCGCCATCAATATTAGAGATAAACTCTTTCCACTAGCCCTAATGAGCTACCTTACTCAAATAAGTTTATTGGGGATCTCAGGCCCATGACCTGATAGACAGCTTGCCACAGTGGCACACAAGTGTCTACCTGAATATCTTTCTTTGGTGTCTTCACTGCTGTGTGAGCTCTCCAGTCACTCAGGGACTCTGAGTTTTCCCCTTGAGCAATGCCATTCACCCACTTTCTTTTGTATTTAATGTTATAGGATCCCCTTCCTGCCTCTTCCTGTCTTCTGTACCTTTCAGGGTAAACAAAATTTGGCCAGGTATACAGGTCACAATTTCATAAATAACTTGAATTTAGTTGTTTGGTCACTTTGTTTGATTTTTTTTTAATGTATATACAGGTATTGCAGTGTGTGTTGTGTCTTGCTTGATATCAGTTTAGCTTATAAATAAAAAATGCTGATAAATCAAAGAAATGACTAGTCTAAATTTGTTAGTTAAAAAAAATGCTGTGGGCTGGGCATAATGGTTCACACCTGTAATCCCAGCACTTTGAGAGGCCAAGGCAGGTGGATCACCTGAGGTCAGGAGTTCGAGACCAGCCTGACCAACATGGAGAAACCCCGTCTCTACTAAAAATACAAAATTAGTGGGGCGTGGTGGCACATGCCTGTAATCACAGCTATTAGGGAGGCTGAGGCAGGAGAATCACTTGAACCTGGGAGGCAGAGGTTGTGGTGAGCCGAGATCATGCCATTTCACTCCAGCACGGGCAACAAGAGCGAAACTCTGTCAAACAAACAAACAAACAAACAAACAAACAAAAAAATGCTGTGTCTTCTAAAAGTTAACTTTAAGATTAGCCACTGGCATTTGTAGCTTTTGAATGGTTAAAATGGCTTTGAACAGTGAGCTTTTCGCTTAGTTACAAATCTTAAAATTATAAAGTTATCTTCACCTGCAGAATGCCAATGTCTGGTTGGCAGTTCAGAATTTATTTCTTCCTAGGTTTATAAAAAAAGGAAGTGCTAAATAAACATATTATGTATTGGGAAAATAATAATTTCTGTCTAATTCAGAAATTATTAAAAGAGAGGTTCAAAATATAATGGAACCAATGAGTAGAACAAAAGAGATGTAAAGAATGTTACAGAGAGAAAATATATTTTTTGGCAAGGAAGAGTATAAAAAAGAGTAATATTGTATAAAAAATAATCTTATATGGTAAGTTTTTGTCCTAAAAAAAAAAATAGTTGGTTATTTAGGAAAGAGATAATGTAAAACAAGTCATAAAGTCCAAGCATGTTGTAGATGATCTGTGTGGGTTATAATAAGATTCATGAAGGGAAATATATGAAATAAATTTCCGTGATTAAATTTTAGCTGTAATTAAAAGAAAATTATTTATAATAGACTTCCTAAAAATATTCTACCTGTTAAAACCAAATTTTCTTAAGATATTAATTTGCAAAATTACCAGAAATTTTGCTTTACAATCCTGTAACCTATTTCTTTTAAAAGCTTCTCAGATTCATGTAACTCTCTCCTTTAGCTTTTTGTCAGCTCCCATGACTTTTTCTCTTCCTGTTCTGACTACCATTATGGCCAGATGCTAAAGTGTTTTTACTTAAAACTCTGTGGGAGCAGTGTTTTCTCTCAATATAGCCTGATTCTATACTCTGGTCTCTTATTGACATATAATCTTATTTCTGGCTTTTAGTTTTTGACTCATATTGCTTAAAAATAATTTAAGGGCTAATGAGTATCTGCCCATATCCATTCCTGTCTGGCCTAGAATGTTTAATTAAATATAAGTCTTTTGACACTAAGTCCCTTGGACAAAGGAAATCCCCCAAATCCCTGAAAAGCTAACTCAAGCCATTACAAAAATCATGGGGTTAGATACACCTATGACTCCTTTAAAATTTAGGCTAGGTTCACAAAGCCCTTCAAAAATACAAAAATAAAGTATTGCCTTCTCCTAGAAGACTTAATCTTTGTAAAAACTTTAAAGAAAGATTCCCCAAAGATCAATTACAACCAAAATGAAAGAGCCCTTATTTGCTATTATTAAGTACCCCCACTTCTGTTAATCTTCAGGAAATCACTAGTTGGGTACCCCTGTCCAGGATTAAACCTGTTTTTTATGAGTTGCAGTCACAAAAGGAGGACACCATGGTCCGCATCTATGAACCTTTGGAAAACTTCTGATATTTATTTTAAAAAATCAACACTCAGCCAAAAGTGGTAATGTGATGGTGTGGATAGTAATAGAAACATCAATTTTTCTCTTCTTCTTGATTATAATGCTTCTTTTCTATCAAATTTGCCAACCACCTCCTCCTGGGAAACACCTTTTTTTTTTTCCTTGTGGGATGTAGAGGCCACTCTAAAGCCCATCTGGACACTGTGCTGCCACTGTTCATCTTGTTTTCTCTCCCAATTACCCTGATCCAGTGTGGGAGGAAACAAAATTCTATAGTAAATATTTCAAAAGTTATAGCACTAGGAAATCATTTTTATGGTCACTAGATTAGTCATTAATATCCCCAGGACAGAGAGCTTTACCTCCTGGCTTATCTAGAAATTTTCATGGCCATCTCCCCAGACCTCTTAACTAGCAATCCCAAAGTACCCAAACCCCTACTTTTTAAGTGGAACTCTCCCTTACCTAATGGATTCCATGCAACTCCCCATCCCTGCTACTATTACCTGGAGCTGGGAAGTTGTGTATCTATATCTCCAGTGCACTCATGATTCTATCTTTTGCACCCACTTTTGTGTTAATGACAAAAAGGCAGAAGTTTCCCTGTGATGCTCTGATCCATCTCTAGTTGACAAGTTCCCAGGGCCACAGAGAGGTAAATGGGATTCTACTTGTAATCAAGGACACCATATATAATGGCTTCTCCAAAAACAAAACATACAGGGGAAAAACGACTGCCTAATCTGGGAAGGTGGGAGTACTGCTCCTTTTTAGAAAACAAAGATTGTTTGGCCACCACCATTTGAGAAGAATATTTCTATAGTTCCAACTTGACACAAAAGGGTAGACATTATACCCTGTAGGTCCTCTATTTGTGCTCCAACTGGGCTCATTTTTATTTGTGGCTGTGAGTGGGAAAAACACACTCCATAACCATTCCCAACTCCCCAGGGAGCTAACTGTTATTTTAGGAGTAGTTTTCCCTTGTATATCAAAAATGAGGAACACGGGTGAATGCATACTGGCCACCCTTGCCCCCTAAGGGGTCACAGTGTAAAACCCAGAAGGGTCCAGCAACACCAGAATTAAGTGAGTAATAGGATTAACTCTGGTGGGAATTGGGGCAGCAACAACACTAGTGGCACTCTGGGGTAGCTTTTTCCAACATGAGTCAACACTAAAGAACTTGACTCAAACCCTGGAATCCTTAGCCACCAACACAGGTGGGCACTAAAGGGAATTAAATAATCTTTAGACTCTTTGGGAAATGTAGTTCTCAATAACAGACTAGTGTTGAATTATTTACTAGCTAAACAAGATGGAGTCTGTGCAGTTATTAATACAACCTTCTGCACATATGTTAACAACTTCAGGCAGGTTGAGGTTAACACTTAAAGATTTTGTTTTTGCTCAAATAATCCCATAGTGAAACTGGGAGGGGGTGTGTATTTTAACATTCAATAAAAATTCAGTGGAAAATTGAAATAAAATTTTCTTTGTTTCATTTTTGTATTATTCCCAAAGACTGGATCCTATGGAATTATGTCCTTCTGTGGAATCCACTGGCTATACTTCTGTCTTTAAAATTGTTTCTGACAAAAAAGGCTTTGTGTAGCAATTTTTTTGAGATATAACACATTTGAATATATATGCATTGAATCTTTATATTTAATTAATAATTAGTGCAGATGTAGAATCTGGGTTCAAAATCTTTTACTTTCAATGTTTTAAAATATTAATTCATCATCAGAAATATCACTGTTAGGTGTCCACTGTCATTCTGATTTTTATTCTTTTAGATGTGATCTCTCTCTGGGGACTGTTAATAAATGTATTTTCATTTTGATGTCTTTAAATTTTACTAAAATATGTCTGGGTGAGGAATTTTTCTTATCTATACTATTTAACTTCTGATGAACATTTTTAGTTTGGGGCCTTTCATTTTTCCTTATTTCTATAAAATATATAATCATTACTTCTTCAATATTTTTCTTTTTGTCATATGTGTGTGAATTGCACATGTATTTATAAATTCACACATACATATATGTGCATATTACATATACATTTAAGTGTATGTACATGTACAAATGTACATATACACATAGATACATACATATTTATATATGTATTTTTTTCTCCTTTTCTGAAAATCTTATCATTCAGAAATGGCAACTTCTATTTGTATTTTCTGGGTTTCTTAATTTTTCCCATGCCCTGCCATTTCATTTTTACATCCTGTTATCTTTTGGGACAGTTCTCATTTGTACCTTTAAATTCACTAATTCATTCACCACTGTAACCACTCTGCTCTTCATTCCATTTTTGTGTTTTTCATTTTAACTATTATATTTATTTATTTAGCTGTTTATTTTTAATAGGCTTTACTTTTTAGAACAATTTTAGAGTCATATAAAAATTGAGAGAGAAGATAGATTTCCCATATACCTTTTTCCCCAACATAGACATAGCCTCCTCCAATAAGAAAATCCCACAGCAGACTGATGCATTTATTACATTAATGAAACTACGTCAATATATCATTATCACCCAAAGTCTGTAGCTTACATTAAGGTTCACTTTGGTATAGTACACTCTATGGGTTTGGACAAATGCATAACGACATGCATCCACCATTATACTGTCATACTGAGGAGACTTTACTGTCATAAAAATCTTCTGTGTTCTACCTATTCATCGCTCCCTCTCCACTAAGTCCTGGTAACCACTGATTTTTTTTTTTTTTTTTTTTTTACCAGTCTCTGTAGTTTTTCCTTTTCCAGAATGCCATATAATTGAAATAATATAGCATGTAGCATTTTGCAATTAGTTTGTTTTTTAGTTAGTAGTATGCACTCAAGATTCCTCCCTGTCTTTTTATAAACTGATACTCGTTTTTTTAGCAATAAATTATATTTCATTGTCTTCATGTACCACAGTTTCCTTAACCATTCACATACTGAAAGACGTCTTAGTTGCTTTTAAGTTTTGGCAATCATGAATAAAGCTGCTATAAACATCTGTATGCATGGTTTTGTGTAGACATAGGTTTTCAGCTGCTTTGGGTAAATATCAAAGAGCATGATTTCTGGATATTATGGTAAAAGTAGCTTTAGATTTATAGGAAACTGCAAAACTGTCTTTCAAAGTGGCTGTACAATTTTGCATTTCCACCATCAATGAATGAGAGTTTCTGTTTCTCCACATCTTGACAATACTTTCTGTTGTCAGTGTTTTGCATTTTAACAATTTTAATAGTTCTGTAGTGGTATCTTATTGTTTTAATTTGCAATTCTTCAACTACATGAGGTAGGGCATCTTTTCATATGTTTACTTGCAATCAATGTAGGGTCTTTGGTGAGGTCATTTACTAATTTTTAAAAAAATCAGGTTGTTCATTTTGTTATTGTTTAGTTTTATGACATTTTTGTATATTTTAACAGTCCTTTATCAGATATTCTTTGCAAATATTTTCTCCAAGTCTGTGTCTTGTCTTCTCATTCTCTTGACACTGTCTTTTGCAAAGCAGAAATTTTAAATTTTAATGAAGTCCAGCCTATCCATTTTTCTTTCACAAATCATATCTTTGTTATGATATCTGAAAGTCACCACCATACCCCAAGTCACCCAGAGATAATGGTCTGTAGTTTTCTTTACTTGCAATGCCTTTATCTGGTTTTAGTATTAGGGTAATGCTGGTCTCCTAGAACAACTTAGAAAGTATTCTCTCCAGTTCTGTCCTCTGAAAGAGAAAGTAGAGAATTGGTCCAGTTTATTTAAATGTATGGTAGAATTCACCAGTAAACCCACTGAGCATCATTTTTTCTGTTTGAGAAGGTGATTAATTATTGACTAAGTTTATTTAATAGATATAGGCCAATTCAAAATGCTTATTTCTTCTTCTGTGAGTTTTGGAACGTTGTGTATTTCAAGGAAAGGGTTTGTTTTATCTAGGTAATCAATTTTGTGGGCGTAGAATTGTTCATAATATTCCTTTATTATTTTTTAATATTCATGGGATCTGCAGTGATGTCTCATCTTTCACTTTTGATGTATAGTTTTTTCATCTTGTTTCTCTTTCTCTCTTTAATTAGCCTGACTAGAGGATTATTGATTTTACTGACCTTTTAAAGAAACAGCTTTAGATTTTATTGATTTTTTTCTTTTGATTTTCCATTGCAAATTTCCTTGATTTCAGTTCTAATTATTATTACATTTTTTCTGCTTACTTTGGACTCAATTTGCTGTACTTTTTCAAGCTTCCTAATTGATTTTAGATCTTTCAATTTTTTTCTAATATGTTATTCAATACTGCAAATTTTTCTCTAATCACTATTTTGATTGAAGCCCACACATTTGAATGAGTGGTATTTTAATTTTTATGAAGTTCAAAATATTATTTCATTTCCCTGAAGATTTATTTGACCTATATGTTATTTCAATGTATATTGTTTAATCTCAATTTTTTTTATTTTGTGGCTATCTTTCTATTATTGATTTCTAGTGAAATTCCATCATGATCTGCCAGCAGATGTTGTATGATGTCTGATTTTTAAAAATATGTTAAGGTGTGTTCTACGGCTCAGAATGATGGTTTGATTTGAGCTTGTAAAAAATGTGTAGTCTCCTGCTATCAAATGAATTCATGTATAGATGTCAATTATATCTAATAGATTGACAGGGCTGCTGAGCACTTAGTGATTTTCTGCCTGCTAAATTTGTTCATATCTGATAAAGGAGTTTGAATTTTCCAACAATAAAAGTGGATTCATATATTTCTCTGCAATGTTCCATGCATTTTTTTCTCATAAATTTTGACACTGTTGTTAAGTGCACACACATTAAAAATTATTATGTCTTCTTAAATAATCGAGTCTTTTACTGTTACACAATTTTCCTCTTTATTCTTTTGTGTGTGTGTGTGTACTTTAAATTCTGGGATACAAGTGCAGAATGTGCAGGTTTGTCACATACATATACCTGTGCCATGGTGGTTTGCTGCAACTATCAACCCATCATCAAGGTTTTAAGCCCCACGTGCATTAGCTATTTGTCCTAACGTTCTCCCTCCCCTCTCCCGTCACCCCTCAACTGGCTCTTGTTTGTTCCCCTCCCTGTGTCCATGTTTTCCCACTGTTTAACACCCACTTATGAATGAGAACATGAATTGTTTGGTTTTCTGTTCCTGTGTTAGTTTGCTGAGGATGATGGCTTCCAGCTTCATCCATGTCCCTGAATATGACATGATCACATTCCTTTTTATGGCTGCATAGTATTTCATGGTGTATATATACCACATTTTCTTTATTCAGTCTGTTGTTGATGGGCATTTGGGTTGGTTCCATGCCTTTGCTATTGTAAATAGTGCTGCAATAAATATATGTGTGCATGTATCTTTATAGTAGAATGATTTATATTCCTTTGAGTATATACCTGGTAATGAGATTGCTGGGCCAAATGGTATTTCTAGACCCCTGAGGGATCACCACACTGTCTTCTACAATGGTTGAACTAATTTACATTCCCACCAAGAGTGTAAAAGCTTTTGTATTTCTCTACAGCCTCACCAGCATCTATTGTTTCTTGACTTTTTAATAATTGCCATTCTGACTGGCATGAGATGGTGTCTCACTGTGGTTTTGATTTGCATTTCTCTAATGATCAGTGACGCTGAGCTTTTCTTCATATGTTTGTTGGTCATATAAATGTCTTCTTTTGAAAAGTGTCTGTTCATATCTTTTGTCCACTTTTTGATGGTATGGTTTGTTTTTTTCTTGTAAATTTGTTTAAGTTCCTCATAGATTCTGGATATTAGATCTTTGTCAGATGAGTAGATTGCAAAAATTTTCTCCCATTCTGTAGGTTGCCTGCTTACTCTGACGATAGTTTCTTTTTCTCTGCAGAAGCTCTTTAATTTAATTAGATCTCATTTGTCGATTTTGGCTTTTGTTGAAATTGCTTTTGGCATTTCCATCATGAAGTCTTTGCCCATGCCTACGTCCTGAATAGTATTGCATAGGTTTTCTTCTAGGGTTTTTATGGTTTGGGTTTTACATTTAAGTCTTTAATCCATCTTGAGTTAACTTTTGTATAAAGTGTAAGACAAGAGTCCAGTTTCAGTTTTCTGAGTATGGCTAGCCAGTTTTCCTAGCACCATTTAATAAATAGGGAATCCTTTCCCCATTGCTTGTTTTTGTCCAGTTTGTTGAAGATCAAATGGTTGTAGATGGGGGGTGTTATTTCTGAGGTCTCTGTCCTGTTCCATTGATCCATATGTGTGTTTTGGTACCAGTACCATGCTGTTTTGGTTACTGTAGCCTTGTAGTATAGTTTGACATCAGGTAGTGTGATGCCTCCAGCTTTGTTCTTTTTTGCTTAGGATTTTCTTGGCTATACGGGCTCTTTTTTGGTTCCATATGAAATTTAAAGTAGTTTTTTTCTAATTATGTGAAGAATGTCAATGGTAATTTAATGAGAGTAGCATTGAATCTATAAATTACTTTGGGCATTATGGCCATTTTCATGATATTGCTTCTTCCTATTCATGAAGATGGAATGTTTTTCCATTTGTTTGCGTTGTCTCTTATTTCCTTGAGCAGTGGTTTGTAGTTCTCCTTGAAGAGGTCCTTTACATCCCTTGTTAGCTGTATTCGTAGGTATTTTATTCTCTTTGTAGCAATTATGAATGTAAATTCATTCATGATTTGGCTCTCTGATTGTGTATTGTTGGTGTACAGGAATGCTTGTGATTTTTGCACATTGATTTTGTGTCCTGAGACTTTGCTGAAGTTGCTTATCATCTTAAGGAGTTTTGGGGCTGACAGCATGGAATTTTCTTAATACAGAATCATGTCATTTGCAAACAGAGACAATTTGACATCCTCTTTTCCTATTTGAATACCATTTATTTCTTTCTCTTGCCTGACTTCCCTGGCCAGAACTTCCAATACTATGTTGAATAGGAGTGGTGAAAGAGGGTATCCTGTCTTGTACTAGTTTTCAAGGGAATGCTTCCAGCTTTTGTCCTTTCAGTATACTGGCTGAGGGTTTGTCATAAATAGCTCTTACTATTTTGAGATATGTTCCATCAATACCTAGTTTATTGAGAGGCTTTAACATTAAGGTATGTTGAATTTTATCAAAGGCCTTATTTGCATCTATTGAGAGGATCACGTGGTTTTTGTCATTGGTTCTCTTTATGTGATGGATTACGTTTATTGATTTGTGTATGTTGAACCATCCTTGCATCTCAAGGATGAAGCTGACATGATCATGGTGGATAAGCTTTTTGATGTTCTGCTGGATTTGGTTTGCCAGTATTTTACTGGGGATTTTTGCATCAATGTTCATCAGGGATATTGGTCTGAAGATTTCTTTTTTTGTTGTGTCTCTGCTAGATTTTGGTACCAGGATGACACTGGCCTCATAAAATGAGTTAGGGAGGAGTCCCTCATTTTCAATTGCTTGGAATAGTTTTAGAAGGAATGGTACCAGCTCCTCTTTGTACTTCTGGTAGAGTTCATCTGATCTCTGTGAGTTCATCTGATCCTGGGCTTTTTTTTGGTTGGTAGGCTATTAATTTCTGTCTCAATTTCAGAACCTGTTATTGGTTTATTCAGGTATTTGACTTCTTCTTGGTTTAGTCTTGGGAAGGTGTATGTGTCCAGGAACTTATACATTTCTTCTAGATTTTCTAGTTTATTTGCACAGAGGTGTTTATAGTATTTTCTGATGGTAGTTTGTATTTCTGTGGAGTCAGTGGTGATATCCCCTTTATCATTTTATTGTGTCTATTTTATTCTTTTTTATTTTCTTATTTATTCGTCTAACTAGTGGTCTATTTTGTTAATTTTTTCAAATAACCCGCTCCTGTTTCATTGATTTGTTGAAGGCTTTTTGAGTCTCTATCTCCTTCAGTCCTGCTCTGATCTTAGTTATTTCTTGTCTTCTGCTAGCTTTTGTATTTGCTTGCTCTTGCTTCTCTAGCTCTTTTAATAGTGCTGTTGGGGTGTCAATTTCAGATCTTTCTGCTTTCTGATGTCAGTATTTAGTGCTATAAATTACCCTCTTATCACTGCTTTAGCTATGTCCCAGAGATTCTGGTATGTTGTCTCGTTATTCTCATTGGTTTCAAAGAACTTCTTGATTTCTGCCTTAATTTCATTATTTACCCAGGAGTCGTTCAGGAACAGATTGTTCAATTTATGTGTAGTTGTGTGGCTTTCAGTGAGTTACTTAATCCTGAGTTTTAATTTGATTGCACTGTGGTCTGAGAGACTGTTTGTGATGATTTCAGTTCTCTTGCATTTGCTGAGGAATATTTTACTTCCAATTATGTAGTCAATTTTAGAATAAGTGCCATGTGGCACTGAGAAGAATGTATATTCTGTTCATTTGGAGTAGAGAGTTCTGTAGATGTCCATTAGGTCCATTTGATCCAAAGCTGAGTTCAAGTCCTGAATATCCTTGTTAATTTTCTGTCTTGTTGATCTGTCTAATATTGACAGTGGTGTGTTAAAGTCTCCCACTGTTATTGTGAGGGAGTCTAAGTCTCTTTGTAGGTCTTCAAGAACTTGTTTTATGAACCTGTGTACTCCATATTGGGTGCATATATATTTAGAATAGTTAGTTCTTCTTGTTGAATTGATCTCTTTACCACTATGTAATGCCCTTTTTTGTCTTTTTTATCTTTCTTGGTTTAAAGTCTGTTTTGTCAGAGACTAGGATTTCAACCCCTGCTTTTTTTTTTTCTTTCCATTTGCTTGGTAAATTTTCTTCCATTTCTTTATTTTGAGCCTATGTGTGTCTTTGCACATGAGATAAGTCTGCTGATTTTGGCACTCCAATGGGTCTTGACTCATTATCCAACTTGCCAGTCTGTGTCTTTTAATTGGGACATTTAGCCCATTTACATTTAAGGTTAATATTGTTATGTGTGAATTTGATCCTGTCATCATGATGCTATCTAGTTATTTTTCACAGTAGTTGATGCAGTTTCTTCATAGTGTTATTTGTCTTTATATTTTCGTGTGTTTTTGCATTTGCTGGTACCAGTTTTTCTTTCCATATTTAGTGCTTCCTTCAGGAACTCTTGCAAGGCAGGCCTGGTTGTGACTAAATCCCTCAGCATTTGCTTGTCTACAAAGCATTTTATTTCTCCTTCACTTGTAAAGCTTAGTTTGGCTGGATATGAAATTCTGGGTTGAAAATTATTTTATTTAAGAATGTTAAATATTGGCCCCCACTCTCTTCTGGCTTGTAGGGTTTTTACTGAGAGGTCCATTGTTAGCCTGATGGCTTTCCCTATGTAGATGACCTGGCCTTTTTCTCTGGTTGCCTTTAACATTTTTTCCTTCATTTCAATTTTGGAGAATCTGACAATTACGTGTCTTGGGGTTGATCTTCTCATGGAGTATCTTAGTGGCGGTTTCTGTATTTCCTGAATTTGAATGTTGGCCTGTCTTGTGAGATTGAGAAAGTTTGCCTGGATAATATCCTGAAGTGTGTTTTCCAATGTGGTTCTATTCTCCCTGTCCCTTTCAGATACTCCAATCAATCATATGCTCATTCTTTTTACATAGTCTTATATTTCTCAGAAGTTTTGTTGGTTCTTTTTCATTATATTTTCTCTAATCTTGTCTGTATGCATTATTTCAGTAAGATGGTCTTCAAACTCTGATATTTTTTCTTCCACTGATTGATTTGGTTTCTGATACTTGTGTGGGCTTCACGAGGTTCTTGTGCTGTGGTTTTCAGCTCTAACAGGTCATTTATGTTCCTCTCTAAACTGGTTATTCTAGTTAGCAACTCCTCTAACCTTTTATCGAGGTTCTTAGCTTCTTTGCATTGGGTTAGAACATCCTTTTCTAGCTCAGTGGAGTTTATTATTACCCACCTTCTGAAGCCTACTTCTGTCAACTCACCCATCTTGTTCTCCTGCAGTTCTGTGTCCTTGTTGGAAAGGCTTTGCAATCATTTGGAGGGGAAGAGTCACTCTGGCCTTTTGGGTCTTCAGGATTTTTTCATTATTTCTCATCTTGATGAGTTTGTCTAGTATTGATCTTTATAGCTGCTGACTCTTGGATGGGGCTTTTGTGGGGACGTTTTCTTGTTGATGCTGTTGTTGTTGCTTTCTGTTTGTTCATTTTTCTTGCAATGGTCAGGTACCTCTTCTGTAGGGCTGCTGAGGAGGTTTGCTGGGGCTTCAGTTCAGGCCCTATTCATCTGGTTCACTCCCACACTTGGAGGTGGCACTCAAGGAGGCTGGGGAACAGCAAAGATGGGTGCCTGCTCCTTCCTCTGGGATCTCTGACCTCATGGGGCACTGACCTGAAGCCAGTAGGAACGCTCTTGTGTTGGATGTCTGACAACCCCTGTTAGAGGTCTCACCCAGTTGGGTGGCATGGGGAGCATGACTTGTTTAACAAAGCACTTTGACTGTCCCTTGGTGGAGGAGGTGTGCTTCGCTGGGGGGAAACTCACTCGTCTGGGCTGCCCAGATTCCTCAGAGCTAGCAGGAGGAAAGAATAGGTCTGCTGATCCATGGAGACTGTGGTCACCCCTCCCCCTAAGGGCTCAGGCCCAGGGAGGTTAGAGTTATGTCCCTGAGACCCTGGCTGGAGTTGTTGGAGTTCCTGTAGCGAGGGCCTCCCACCTCACAGTGAGGAGAAGGGATGGGTCTGGTCAGGGCTGAAGAGACACTCTGTCCATAGTCTGCCAGAGCTGGTGTGTTGGGCTATGATGGATACCTCTTGGGACCAAGCCACCCAGCTTCCCTGGCTTCAGCAGGGGAAAAGTGTGGCCTGGACCTAGAGAGATGGTGCTGCCCCTCCCCAACCCTGGTAGCTTGGTGTGTTAGGCAGCTATCAGTCCCAGTGTTGACTGTCGCCCCTCCCCCAAGGAGCTCAAAGGGCTTAGACAGCAGGCAGCCACAGCTGTGGTACTAGCCGCCCCTCCACCCAGGAGCTCAGTAGGCTTAAGAAGATTCTAACCGAGTGGTTGTGGAGAATCTGCGCAGCTCCATGGTTGGGACCCTAGGCTCTGGTGACATAGGCTTAGTAGTGGGATCTTCCAATCCATGGGTTGCACAGTTCTGTGGAAAAAGCACGTTTTCCCAAGGCTAGATAGCATGCTTACTCACTGCCTGCCTTGGCTGAGGGATGGGGACTCCCCTGCCCTGTGTGGCTCTCAGGTGGGCCACCGTACCACACTGCTCTTCCTTCCTCTCCATGGGTCACACTAGCTGCCTAGTCAGTTCTGATGACAGAACCTGGATCCCTCGTTTGCCAGTGCAGGATTTGCACACTGTTATGGTTCTTTGCTGTGGGAACCTCCAGTTGTCACTGCTTTGAATCGGCCATCTTGGCCCTGCCCCCCCTTTATTCTTGAAAACTTTCCTTGCTCTGAAGTTTATGCTGTTTGAAATTAATATAGATACTCTTGCTTTCTTTTCACTGGTGTTCGCATGCTATATCTTTCTTCAACATTTTTTACATACTCTATATGGGTCTTTATATTTAAAGTGGATTTCTTGTTGACAACATATAGTTGGGTCTTATTTGATCTACTCTGACAATCTCTGTCTTTTAATTAGTGTATTTAGATTACTGATGTTTAACGGATTATTGATATAATGAATTAAAATTTGTCATATTTGTTTTCTATTTGTTGTCCTTGCTCTTTGTTCCTATTTTTCTACTCTTCCTTTTTTGTTTGTTTTTTTATTTTAATTGAGCATTTTATATGATTCAATTTTTTCTTTCTTCTTAGTATGTCAGTTATAATTTTCTTCTTTTTAAATTGTTGCCCTGGAATTTGCAATATACATTTACAACTAATCTAAGTCTTCTTTCAAATAATACTAAAATGCTTTGCAAGTAGTAAAAGTCCTTTATAATAAAAAAAATCTTAATTCTTCTCTCTTGTTCCTTGTTTTGTTGCTGCCATTTATTTCACTATTACATAAGCATGCCTAAGTGTATGTATATATACTTAGGTATGCAAATGTGTGCAAATACACACATACACTTAGGTATGCTTATGCAATTATACATATATACACAAACTATATATATGTATAATTTATTTTACTGTTGCTATTATTATTTTGAACAAACTATTACCTGTCAGATCAATTAAGAATAAAAAGTTTTTCTTTTACCTTCACTTATTCCTTCTGTTATGTTTTTCCTTTATTAATGTATATTCAAATTTCAAACCTAAATCATTTTTCTTCTTCTAAAGAACTTTTAACATTTCTTGCAATGCAAGTCTACCAGCAACAAATTCTGTTTATTTTTGTCTGAGAAACTCTTTATTTCTCATTCACTTTTGAAGGATAATCTCACAAGGTATACAATTCTAAGTTGGTGGCTTTTTCTTCTATATTTTAAGTATTTCATTCCATTCTCTTCCTGGATGCTTGGTTTCTGAAGAGAGGTTAAATGTAATTCATATATTTGCTCCCATATAGGTAAGATGATTTTTTCTCTAGCTTCTTTGGAATTTTTTTTTAATCTTTGGTTTTTAACAGTTTGAATACAATATGCCTAGATATAGGTTTAGGAGGCATTTACCCTGCTTAGAATTCTCCGAGCTTCCTGTTACTATAGTTTAATATCTGACATTAATTTGGAGGATATTCTCAGTCATTATTGTTTTAAATATTTATTTAGCTCCTTCCTCTCTTCTCCTTTTGGTACAGCAATTTACAGGTGAGTCCCATGGTTTTTGGATATTCTACTCCTTTTAATTTTTGCAGTTTTTTATTCTCTTTTAATTTCTGTTTTGGAGGTTTCTATTGTCATACCCTGAAGCTCACAGATTCTTTCTCAGTTCTGTTCAGTTTACTGATAAGCCCATCAAATACATTTTTCTTTTTTGTTACAGTGTTTTTATTTCTAGCATTTAAAAAATATTCTTAGGATTTCCATCTCTCTGCTTACATTGTCCCCCTGTACTTGCATGCTGTATTCTTTATCCATTGGCATCCTTAGTATATTAATTATTGTTGTTTTGAACTCCTGGTCTGATAATTCCAACATCCCTGCCATATCTGAGTCTGAATCTGAAGCCTGTTGAATCTTTTCAAGCTGTGTTGTTTTGTTTTGTTTTGACTTTGAGTATGCTTTGCAATGTTTTCATGATGGCTGGACATAATAGACTGGATACAAATAACAGTGGTAAATAGGCCTTTAATAATGTGATGGTAAGTTGTAGCAAGGGAAGTGTCTCAGTCCTTCCTCACTTTAGGAGGGACAGGACAGCTAAAGTGGGCTGGAATTGGGAATTGCCCTTCTACCACGTCAGTTAGGTTCTGGTAAAACCCCAGTAGTTTAGACTCTAGTGAAATAGTTTCTCCTGACAACAGGCTTTGTGACAAAGAATAGAACGCTCTGGTGTATATCAAAATGGGGAGTTTCCCCTCCCTTCACTCCTGCCTGCAGAATCTGTAAGGGGATTTTTCCAGGCCTTCACTGTGGGAAGTGAGCAGAGCTCCTAAAGGTAAAACTCACAAAAGCATGAACTGCACCCCTTCCCACACCCCCAACAATGGGCATCTCTGAAGACTTTAACTCTCAGACTGTCCACACTGAGTCTCCAGTAACTGGTCAGTTACAGTTTAGCTTTTCCTACCCTGGTACTAGTTCTCAGAGAGTTTTCTGCTCCTGGTTTCTGCTCTGTTAATTTCTGTATTTCTGTGTTCATCTACCAGTCTCTTAAATTTTGGGGGCAATGATGTCCTGTGAACTCACTTCTCTGAAGGATATATGAAGAACTTCCTTCTTCAGTTTATTCAGCTTGTTCAGTTTATTCTTCAGTTATTCTTCAGTTTGTTCAGCTTTTTACTTATTGTTGATTCAATGACAATTTCTAAGCTCCTTATATACCAAACTGGAAAATGAAAGTCCTTACTTTAATTTTAAAATAAAATTAAATTTACAGAAATGTTCCAAAAATAGTATATGGAGCTCCCATATACCCCATATCCAGTTTCCAGTATTACTAACATCTTACATTAGTATGGTCCATTTGTCATAATTAATGAACAGAAATTGACATATTATTGTTAAATAAAGTCTACACTATTTAGGTTCCCTTAGTTTTTACCTACTATTATTTTTCTGCTACAGGATCCTACATAGGACACCACACTGTTTAATCATCATGCCTCCTTAGAGCCCTGTTGTCTGTGACAACTTCTACACTTTCTTCTCTTAATTCTATGTCTGGGGGTACATTTGCATGTTTCTTACATGGGTATATTTTGTAATGGTGGGGACTGGTGTGCTTCTAGTGTGCCTACAACCCAAATATTGAATGTTGTACCCAACAGGTAAGTTTCCAACCTTTAGTCCTCTCCCATCCTTTCCCTTTCTGGAGACCCAGTGTCTATTATTTCCATCTTTATGTCCATATGTATTCATTGTTTAGCACCCTCTTATAAGTGAGAACATGCAATATTTGGTTTTCTGATCCTGAGTTCATTTACTTAAGGTAGTGGACTCCAGTTCCATTCATGTGGCTGCAAAGGACATAATTTCTTTCTTTTTTATGACTGCATAACAACTACTGTAATTTTTATGACTAATTTTTCAATCGTCCTGTCTCATTTCATTAACATTTTCCCCTATGTCATTGCAAATATTTTCAGGATTAGTTTAAATTGTTGATCCCCATTTTAAAATTTATGTAATAAACATTGTTCTGTTTGATATTTTCTTTCTAATGGTTGCATTTCCTAAGCATCTGGTTATTTTGGCTGAGAGTGCCTGTCCCCCAGGGGGTATCAGAAAAATCTGATTGTTATTAGGTTTAGGGAGGAGTCAAAGCCCAGGCCCTCTTTGTTTGTGCTCTTCCTGTGAATTTCAGGAGACAAGAGACAATGTGCCTCAGAACTGCTGGCAACCACCTTCTTTGCTTCATTTCCACCAGGCATAATCCTATGATCATGGATTCTCCTTTAAACCCTTTGAACAAGCCAGCAAAGGGAAAAAAGCATTCTCTTTAGATGGTAATCCCCCATGGCTAAGGGTTTGAAGGGAGAAGGGAAGGATGACTGAATGTTAGAGGGGGTGGGGCAGTTCACAGTTGTTTGCAGCAGGTTGTGCTGTGCTACGCACTACTAACACTTGATAGCCTGAGCAAGTGCTGCTGACACTGACTCCCTGGGGATTACAGAAGGCAGGAATCTTCCCAAGCCTAGAGGTAAATTGGAAGGAAAAAACCTTTTCCATACCTGTCTGCTCTGGCATTTCACCGCAGTGCTGCAGGTTGCCACCTGCCACACATCAGTTTACAGAAGTGTTTGGTGTTTTCCTGGGTTTTTCATAAAACCTTTAGATCTGTACATTCTTCCCTCATCTGCAGTTTCTCCACAGTTGACTTAGAGGAAGGAATCCACAGTACATGTCAGTTCTCCATATTTTCAGGAAGCAACCAAAGCTTAGGAGGTGTAGGGTCCTGAAGCTAGTGAGAAATAGAGGTAGGATACAGACTCATTCTTGAGGACTCCAAAGCCTGTACACTTTCCACTTTCTCACCTCTGAGACTTATATGCCCATGGGTTCAAATACAACACAGATCCCCAGAACACCAGAACTGCTATCAAACCAATAAAATCATGTGGGTGAACTGTATATCTGAAATGAGACTTTGATGGACAACTCTCTTGACAGGGGACATATTACATTTAACAATTTAAGAATAGGGAGGAATAATTGTTCCAGACCTCCTTTGTGACTTTTCATTCATTCATTCAATATAAATTTACTAAGGAGCCACTGTTTACAGCCTCTGATCTACACATTGAGTATGAAGTAATGAGGAAAAAGAAACCCAAACAGATTACACACTTTTATTGACAAGTGTTCTACATCTTGGTATGGGTTAGTCAGAAATATAGTTCTCACATGTAAAACAAAACAAAAAACTCACCCATTGAAATTTTGTAGTCCCTAGTCCAGTATATCCATGAGTCTTATAGACCTATGTACTCACACATAATGCAATCCAACCTAATTAAATGCCACACCATGGTTGGAACCCACTGGTGACAAACTGATAAGTAGGCCAGGATGCTCTTAAGTACCCACAGGACTCTTTTTTTTTCTGTTCTTCTCTCTGCTGTTCCTATCAAGAGCTGATTTATGATATTTTCTTACTCCTATCTACAAAAAATTATGCTACAAAATTGTCATTAAGTCAAGACGTCATATCTTATCCAAGTTTGATTAATTTCTCAAAATCTTATGTGAAAGAAACAGATATCTAACTTCGAATATTAGAAATATATTTGGGGTAGAATGAAGTCAGAGTTCCTTGGCTGTCCACAGAAGTCATGTATATCATAGGCCAGCTACCAAGTTTGCCTTGGAAACAAAAGGAAGTAGATACAAACAAACATTTTAAAAAGTGGTCCACACTTTTTTTTCTCTATGATCTAATAAACTATTGATTAAAAGCACAAACTGCTTGTAAACAGAAGCCAGCAGATAAGAAAATAAAATTACTTCAAAGGATGGATTCTAGGATTATGTGCTTAAAATATTTCTCTTTGTGTAGCTTATCAGGCAACCAAAAAATTAAAAGTGATTTTCATTGAAAGTAGACTGACATTTTCTGGTGGTTACACTTCATGCAGCACTCTAGAAAAACTGATAAAACCAATTACTGGGCAGCTATTCATGAGATGATCAGCATAATCAAATAACATAGTCTAGGATTAATTGGCTGTTCCTAAAAGAACATGGAGCTTGGCATATGGAAAAGGAGGAGCTAATAGGGTCAGGACTGGCTTTTATGGGTCACTTTTAGAAAGTGGTTATTATTTACATGACACACATATATGTGTGTTCATTTGAGAGGCTATCAAAATGCCCTCACTGGCACAGTGAAGGGCAAACAGAGGAAAAGGAAAAGGAGGAGGAGGAACCTCCATCTTTAAATCCAATATAATAGTTTCCATATGTGGTAAGCACCGGTTAATGCTTATTATAAGAGCAAAATAAAATAAGGAGACATAAAAGAATTCTTAATTGAGGAAAAGAGTAAAAATGGGGGACAAAAATGGATGCTTGTTATGATCTGTCAAAGAGCCCTTAACCAGGGGCTCAGAAATTATATCATTTCTACATGAATGTGTACCCCACATTATCAGAGAATCTCCTTTCCAGTATAATATCCAAGAGTCTTTAAGGGAAAGACAACGAAATTGTCTTAAATTTTATCTAACCAGTTATATTGGTAGTTCTCAACTGATGCTGATTGTGCCTTCCTCCCTCTCCCCACAATGATTTGTCAATATCTGGAGATATTATTGGTTTTCACAACCAGAAAGGTGCTATTGGCATTGGGAGGATAAAGGCCAGGATGCTGCTGAATACCCTGAAGCACACTAGGCAGCTTTCCTCCACCAACAATTATCTGGTAAAAAATGCTAAGCCACCACAAGCATGGTGGCTCAAGCCTGTAATCCCAGTACTTTGGGAATCTGACGGAGACCGATTATGAGGTCAGGAGATCGAGACCATCCTGGCTAACACAGCGAAACCTCATCTCTACTAAAAATACAAAAAGTTAGCTGGACTTGGTGGCACACGCCTGTAGTCCCAGCTACTCAGGAGGCTGAGGCAGGAGAATCACTTGAACCCAGGAAGCAGAGGTTCCAGTGAGCTGAGATCGCACCACTGCACTCCAACAAGGGCGACAGAGTGAGACTTCGTCTCAAAAAAAAAAAAAATCCTAATGATGCTGACACTGTGAATCCATGTGACATATGATAGTGGAAGAAAAGAGCTGCGTGTGAAATATAGGTCACTGTTTCATTTAATTTAATGACATCGTATAAAAGTCTCAAATTTTTATTAATGGGTATTAGAAATGTCAGGATATAGAATCAAACTAAGTGTCTTTGAACAAATGAGTGGATAAAGAAAATGTGATACACACACACACACACACACACACACATACATATACACAGTGGAATACTATTCAGCTTTAAAAAAATTCTATCATTTGTCACAACGTGGATGAAAAACCTGGAAGATATTATGCTATGTGAAATAAGCCAGACGGAGAAAGGTATTTAAATACTGCATTATCTCACTTATATATGAAATCTTAAAACTTTGAACTCATAGAATCAGAGTAGAATGGTTGTTACCAGAGTTATAGGGTGGGAAGGAGGATTTTGAGACATGTTGTTAAAGAATGCAACATTCTAGGTAGACAAAAAGAATAAGTTCAGGAGATCTATTGTAAAACATTGTGACTATAGTCATTAACAATGTATTGTATAATTGAAAATTAATAAAAGAGTAGATTTTAAATGTTCTTGCCACAAAAAAATTTAAGTGTCTGAGGTAGGGAATAAATTACTTAGCTTGATTTAGCCATTCCACAATGTATACATATATCAAAACATCATGTTGTATACCATAAATATACACAATTTTTATTTGTCAATTTAAATACATGCATGCATACATATATACATAAAACATAAAATAATAAAAATAAAATAAGACAACATCTCTCAGGGCCAGATCTAACACTAAAAAGTCAGATTTTGTACTCTTTTAACTCCAAAAAGTAATTCATAATAATGATAATAGTACTACATTCTTAGCAAAGCAAAATAAAACTAATCCTTTTTATCTAATTATAGACGGTGCAATGAATAAGTCACACTTATCATTGAGTTATTTGTTCTGCTTCCTTAATAACTGAATATTTTAATACCACAACAATTAGGGCACAGCATTGTTGGAGGAAGTTAAACAAACTTATTCATGTAGCTTTCTTCTTTTCTACAAGTTAAGTGATGGTCTTTCATTAAGACTATCAGTTCAGAACTGAAGGGGTCCGTAGACTCTTTGACTCAGTTTTCATTAACTTATCCTTTCAAAATATGTACTGACCTACTACATACGAAGAGTTTTGCTAGCCACCAGAGCTTTGATAAGGGGCCAAATACCATTTCTTCTCTCTCAAAACTTATATGTAAGTGTATGGCTGGGGTGTGTTGCCTGCAGGGGAGTTGGGGGGGTGGTGCTCACAGACAAGTAAACATAAAATTATAGTAGAAAGTATTGTGGTAAGAAGAATAATCTTTACTCCACCAAAAGAAGTTTACGTTCCAATTTCTGGATCCTAGTAACACGTTACCTTACATGGCAAAGGGAAATTAAGGCGGGAGACAGAATTAAGATTGTTAACTTCTGACTTTACAATAGGAATTGGATTGTCCAGATGGGTACAGATGTAATCAGAAGAACGTTTAAAAGTAGAAGAAAGATACAGAAGAGGCGTTAAGACAAGAAGAAGAGAAACTGAAAATGACATGATGTGAGAAGGACTTGGCCTGATGTTGATGGCTTTTAAGGTGGTGGAAGGAGGGCATGAGTCAAGCAATGCAGTCAGCCTCTACGTGCTGGAAAGGGAAGGCTCTTCTAGAGCCTCCAGAAAGAATGCACCCCTGTTGACACCTTGATTTCAGCTCAATCAGACCTATGCCACAATTTTGATCTCCAGAGCTGTAAGACAATTAGTATCTAGTGTTTTAAGCTAATATGTGTGTAGTAATTTGTTATGGTAGCAAGATGAAACTAATACAAATGTTAAATGCACTGAATGAGAAATAATGAGATGCATTTGAGCAAGAACATGGTGTGATGTGTGTTGAGTGTGAGGGGAGGCACCAGTCAGGGAAATCTTTCCAGATTAATTAAATTCTAAGCTGGATTCTGAAGGACACAAAACTGTTGATCACACAAAGAACCCTGGAATAGCATTCCAGGTGAAATGAATAGAATAAAGTCCTGGCGATAAACAAGAGTGTGCTTCTTGTGAGCTATATTAAGTTTCTCAGGTTAGACAGGAAAGATAGAGCAGCAGAGATCAATAAAAGTCAGATGATTGAGCTCTGCAGAACAATTTGCTTAGTCTAGATTTGATTCTAAAAGCAATTGTTAGTTAACAAAGACCTTTAAATAGAGGAATGGCATGACTGAATTTGAGGGGAAAAATTCTCTAGTTGCTGCATGAAGAATGGGTGGGAGCAAGACAAAAGTGGAAGCAGGGAGAACAGTTTGGAGGCATTTGCAGCCATCCCTGGGTAAATGGTCATTCACTCAGAGCCAGAGCAATGGAGGTGGATAGAGGTGAATGAGTTAAGAAAGGTAGAATCAATAAAGATTGGTTAAAACAAATAAACAAACAACTAGATGGTGGTGGTGATGAAGAGAGGAGAGGCAAGAATGAAACCTAGGTATCTAGTTTAGACAACTGGATTGATGGGAAGCCCTTCTCTAGAACACAAAATATGGGCAGTGGGGGTTTCCTTCACAAAATTAATTGGTTTCAAACAGGCTTATACTACAGGACTTGAGGAACATCTGAGTGGACTAGAATGCCAGAAAAGTGATTTGCAGGCTTCCACGGATCTGTAGTTTCTTATATATATTCCTGGGGGACTTTTTGCTAGTGACTGAATTCTAGGTGGTCGAGGGGAGGTTAGAGTATGGAAGATTTACCATGCTTGACAGTATGTTCCTTTTAATGTTGAAATTGGCCTTAATGTAATCAGCCAGTAGTTGTTAATAAATATAATATAGAAACAAATAAGCAAACAAAATTTATCTTCTAAAACGTTTATTTTCTGAGTCAAAAGCTTCTTTAAAAATAGTGAGCTGCAGTATTCATTATGTGAATTTCTGATCCTGTACCCAAATGCATAAATGGTGTCATGATTTAAGTCTTGTATAAAAAGGAGGTGTAGGGGAGACAGAGAGTGAGAGATTGAGAGAAAGAAAGTTATTTTTCTAAAAGACAACTGAATAGAAAAAAACTATTTTTTCTGGAAGATAGTCAAATAAAATATACCTTGTAATGACTTTTAATAGTCTAGGTTCTGGTGCAATCAATATACGTTTCCAAGTTGTTAGAGATTTGCAAATATTATTCACCTGCGGTTGGATTTATAAGCAACAAAGCATTTATACACGAATTTATTTCAGAATACCAGCAGATCATAGTGAGCCACAGAACCATTTACAGCCCCTTGTCTTCTCCAAGGTATGGGTTGCAGATGTTTTTTTCATTGTTGGTAATATGTATTCATAAATATACATGTGTGTGCAGAGACTTAAAAATATGGAAGCTGTTTTATTATTCAAAATATATGCACTATGCCTCTAACCATTGTCTCTGCCCAACATCACTCTTTTCACTCCTGCTTTTTTTAAAATTTTTTTCCACCTCTATGTAATGAATTTACTTGCATTCTTTTCCCACCTGATCTTGTCCATATTGAGCTGAGGACTTTTTTTTTGTTTGTTTTGTTTTGTGTGTGTGTGCTTTTTTTTTTTTTTTTTTTGAGAAGGAGATTTTCACTCTTGTTGCCCAGGCTGGAGTGCAATGGTGCAATCTTGGCTCACTGCAACCTCTGCCATCCAGGTTCAAGCGATTCTCCTGCCTCAGCCACCCAAGTAGCTGGGATTACAGGCATGTGCCACCACGCCCAGCTAATTTTGTATTTTTAGTAGAGACGGGGTTTCTCCATGTTGATCAGGCTGGTCTTGAACTCCCAATCTCAGGTGATACACCCGCCTTGGCCTCCCAAAATGCTGGGATTACAGGCATGAGCCACCACGCCCAGCCAAGCTGAGAACTTTTTAATCACTATGGATCTTGATCTTGCTCATTTTCCTTTTTCCACCTAGATTTATATTCTGACATGGCATTATTTTTTTCAAACTTCAGCTGGGAGAGTGAGAAGAATAGGCTTACGCTGAAATGCACTTTCCTTCACTTACTAGCTATGCAACACTGGCAAGTTATACAACTTCTCTAAATCTTAGTTTCTTCACTGTAAAATGGGGTAATATATATCACATAAGTTTATCTATAGATTGATAATATGCCCTTCTTTGTCTTACAAAAATTAAAGCAAAGAATTAATGCCTCTCTTCCCTTCTATTCTCGATCCCTCAATTATTTTGCTCCTGAGAATATAGCTAAATATGGAAATGGGTCCAGTATACCAAATAATGTTGCAGTGGTTGTGTTCCACAATGATAACCACGACACAAATATATAAGAAGGTATATAAGGAGAAGAGTAAACGGTTTTACTTAATATCTTTACTTCTTTTCTTTTTGGTGGAGTTTCACTCTTGTTGCCCAGCCTAGAGTATAATGGCACAATCTCGACTCACTGCAACCTCCACTTCCCAGGTTCAAGGATTCTCCTGCCTCAGTCTTCTGAGTAGCCAGGATTATAGGCGCCCGCCACCATGCCCAGCTAGTTTATTGTATCTGTAGTAGACAGACGGGGTTTCACCATGTTGGTCAGGCTGGTCTCGAACTCCTGACCTTAGGCAATCCACCCACCTCGGCCTTCCAAAGTGCTGGGATGCATGAGCCACCGCGCCCAGCCTTACCTTTTTATATAATTCCATACCAATTCAAGAAACTACTACTTCCAGGAAAAAATCTTTTGATTACCCTGATGCTGTTAGAAGCCAAAGCAAAAAATGATACATGAAGAAATTTAAAGTAGTTGTTACCTGAAATGACTTCAACTTCCCCACATAACCTTTATGTGGGTGTTATTGTCTCTAGGATATACGCACCTGATATGGGCTTTTAGAACCAGTGACAAGAATCAGATTTTTCTCATCAAATGTCATTAGCTTGCATTCTATTCTGGGCTGAACTAAAAACTTGGTGTGAGAAATTAGTTAATGTAGCATGTTCTCTGAGCTTCCTTTCATGCCTAAAAATAAGAACCTTACATATGTGATGAGTAGCTTCCATATAAGACTCAATCACTTTTCACATACACTTTTACTATAAAGGAACCATTTGTAAATATGTTAGGATTTGCTGTCAGTACAATCTTTGTGACACCTATTCAGCTCTGCTGTTATGTCATGAAAACAACCATAGATAAAATGTAAACAAATAAGCATGGTTTTGTTCAAATAAAATTCAATTTACAAAAAAGACAGACAACTGAATTTGGCCCATAGGCCATAATTTGCTGACCCTTGCTCTGAATTACATGGGATTAATTTCTATGGCCTGATATTATTGCCTTTCAACAGGTCAAGATAAATATGCAATATCAAAATGTCAAGATCAAAAAGTAACATGGCCAGTGAGATAAAGGTAATTAAGAACAAGAGAAAGACAGACACAGAAATTCCAACTCCAGTTGCAAAGTGAATATATCTATATGCTAAGCATCATGCTGAGTAGGCACTGGGGTACCTCTCAGATTATTTGCAGTGAAGATCAATTCTTTTTTCAATCCATCATGGATTGAAAAATACAAAGTCATGCATTTGGATGGCTATAACAGGTTTTTAGAAAATTTTTGTATATTTAATTTTATTGTTTGCATTTATCTCGGTGTGAACCAGTAGCAAACAGATAAGGACCACATTCTAAGGAGTGCTGGTTAGGGATTCCTAAGAAGGCAAGTTTTTGCCTGGATGTTTCTGCCTTAACATCTTTATTACATTTGTTCACAGAATTATCTGTTACATTCCTCGGAAATAAGTACACAATTTATTCTCATATTGAAGATCTTCCATAATCTGGGTTCAGCCATATCGTTTTGGCAGTGTCCTCCTCTGCACTCACATAGGATGACTTCCTGTACCCAAACACACCTTCTGTTTCCCTGCACTTTGCCATTGCTCATATGATTTCCTAGTTCTGTACTGTCAATAAATCCATCTTTAATATCTTTCAAAACTCCTTCATGAAGTTATGTCTTATTTCTGCTGGATGCAATCTGCTCCTCCATGGAACATTCATAAAGCAGTGCACACTTTGTCTGTGATTAGACTTGTTTTAATCACATCACAATACTCCCTGTACCTTTCTTATTTAGAGACCAGAGAGAGAGAGAGATTTTGGAACTTGAGCTGCCTCTCATATAGATAGATAGAGAGAGAGAGAGAGAGATACACACCCACATACATGTATATATGTGGGACAATATCCAGAGTACCGAACACAGTGTGTCATTTATAAAATGGAGGCTTTTCACAAATTAGCCCATAAGTGAATATACTGAACCTACATCTTAAATATTCTGTCTTAGAGATCTCCTTTAAGTGCTTCAATAGTTCAGTCCTTTGCACCTTCATTTTTTTCTCTCTTTCACTTAGGGCAAAGGTGCTTATCAGCAAGAGAGGTTGAGTACATAAAACCACAGGACACAGCAATCTGTGGTATCAAAAGCAAACCATATAAGATGCATAACTCACTTACAGAATTTGTATGATGGAGGCTGGAGAATGAAAATGCAATTTATAGCTCATTTATACTATTCTGAATTTCACTGTAAAACACAAATTTTGTGGGCAGAACGAAGCCAGCCACGATTAGCATTTAGCCCAGCCACAGCCCATGACAATTGTTTGTTTCTGCTGTGATCTGTAAGACTTTGCTTTAGAATGAAAACTTAATTGGATATACTGAAGGAAAGAGCTGCCATTGGTGAGTAAAATTTTATAATCTCCATCCAAGTTACACACTTGCAAAATTATGAAACAGAGTAGATATTTACCCTGCAAATGAATACAAGTCTGAATGATAAAAGCTGACAGAATTAAGCTACGTTAGTAACACACAGGGAAAAAATTGCAAAAGATTCACTCAGGTATTTTATTACTATTATTACATTTGAAACAAATTATGAGTTTTATGGCCATACTGCATTTTATTGGTTTGCCTCTATATTTAATACAGTTGTAAATGAGCAAAATTCTGATGAATGTTTTCTTGGTGTATGCTTCAAACTTACTTCATCCATATAAAACTTCCTTTCAGATGAGACTGTTTATTGTAAAATTAAGGGACTGAGAATGTGCCTTACCTCTCATGGCCTGATCCCTTACTTCCACAATATTAAGGAAGAGAGCCAAGGAAATGTAGATATTCTACAAGATGGGCTTCTTGGCTAACCATGCCTACAGGTTCTAGAGAAACTTTCCACCACAGTCTCTGGAAGGAGCAGATCTACATATTCTATCTTGTCCCCATTTACCTCACCAGGGATAGAAAACATTGATTGCCAACAACTAACATGAGCTTTTATTTTGAATATTTTAACTAAAATAAAATGAGGCTATCTAAGTGTGGGAAGCCAAACAAAGGGTCTGGCTAAATAGAGGCCAGAGACAGTGTGATAGCTTCCTTTCTGTGTCAACTTAGTTAGAATATGTACTCATCCAAACATGAATCTAGGTGTTGCTGTAATGACATTTTGTAGCTGTGATTAAGGTGCAAAATCAGTTGACTTTAGGTAAGAGAGAATATTGTATATAATCTGGGGAGGTACAATTTAATCAGTTGAAAGGCTATAAGAGCAGAACCAAGGCTTACCTGAGAAAGACGAAATTCTACCTGTGGACAGAAGCTTCAGCCCCGACCTGAGAACTTCAGCCTGCCCTTCCTAAGGACCTGCTTTACAGATTTTGGACTTGCCTAGTCAGCCCCCACAATCACATAAGACAATTCCTTTCAATAAATCTCTTAATATGTACCTCCTACTGGCTCTGTTCCTCTGGTTGAATGCTGACTGACACAGACAGTGTTCCAGTAAAACGAAAGACCAGGCAAGACTGAATCACAGTAAATGGAGCAGAAACCTTGTAGGCAGAGGAAACCGGTATCAGAGAAGTGGCAATTCACAGTCTTGTCGTCCTAGAAAAAACAAGACAGTCACGTTCTTAAACCCTCAGTTTTAGTGCCTATGAGTCTCAGTCCTACTTTATCCCCACCAGATCTTAAGGGTCTCCTTGAATTCTCCATTAACCTGAATGTGTTTGTTATAACCAAATGACCTTGACAAGAGCCAACTATCATGTATCTGGCACATTCTAGAAGAGGGAAAAAAATCTACATTTTTAAAAAACTTCTTTATCTTTCTACTAACTCAACAAAAATTATCAATTATCCATAACTTGGAAGATACACTGTTATAGGTATATTGAAACCACCAATATGTATCTTTCATACAGAGTCTGCTTTCAAGAGGTTTATAAGCTGATAATGAAAATGTCTGTTCATAAATATAACTAATTCACAACTAAAAGTGATCTATGGAGCAGACAAGGCCTAGAGCCAGTAAAACAGAAGTTCAGAAGTGGCTGAGAGGATTAAGGAAGGCCCCATAGAGAACAGGCCATGTAGTTCCTGTCCATGCCTAACGTTTGCAGGCCTGGGGCAAGAATACAAGGCGACATTTTCACCACAACATGGAAAGCCAGAATTTAATTCAGAATGATTGACTCCTTCCTACACCTGATTATACCCTGCCGCATGTGGACACCCCGCCTTCCTATCAAGCTCCATCCATGCTTTCTGTAAACAGCAGGCTCCTGGTCACTCCTTGAGTCCAGATGAACACATCAGCAATGGAGTCCTCTGAGGATAACAGACTCAGGAAAGAGGCCCTTGAAGCAGCGGGTTTAGGGCAGTTTGAAGTATGACTTAAGAGAATATTTCTCTTTGGCCCAATTGACTCCTCCCTTACCCCTTAAAAAAAGTGGCTCCCTAAAATTTAGGTTTAAATCAAAGGTTCTACTTTCTGAATGTAAGTGTTGAACTTTCTGAGACTGTTATTTTACATCCTCCAACAACTATTAAGTACTTTATATATATTGTGAAAAAAAGAGTAAAACATCTGATTTGTTCAACCCCTGTATATCTAGTTTTGTAATTGCTCAGTGACTATTTGTTTCATTCTAACCCACAGTTAAATGTGTATAGGATCTATTCAGGTGGTGATAGGGGTCAAAGAAGGGAGTAATAAATGATAAGGAGACTTAAGCAACAAAACAAAGGAATAAGAAATGGTTCAGAATTGTAAGATAGAAAGCTTCACAAGGAGGAGCAATGGGCAATAACTGTAAAAAGTAAGTGGAGGTGATACTATGGAGGGCTTAGAAATAATTTAAATCTCCACATCCTATTTTTCTAAAATAAAGGGAGGAAAGAAGGAAACAAGGAAGAGAAGGAGGAAGATGGCTTTCACCTTGTTCCTACACAATGGTGTTTGGCAAAGACACTTTTTAAAGTTTGCTTTGTGTGTCTGATTACATTTTGTACTCGGAAAGTAATTAAACCATTGTTGGGACAGAGAAAAATGTGATCATACATTTCTGTGTGCAACATTGGAGCACTTTGTCTCTTTTCCACAATAGTCTTCGTTTAACATTTATATATACTCTCACAAAAACTCAAGAATAAGGGATAATAAATGGAAGGTTCTTCTAACCTCCTGGGTAGCCACAAAGTGGACAGTGTCCATTAATTGCTCTTCAGATGTTTAAGCTAAGTCAAGGCTGTGCCACTGTGCATTTGAGTAGACTTCAGGATTCAGAATCACTTCTCTGACCTCAGTGCTCTGGGTATGCACATGAGCTTGTGTGCATGTGAGTGCAAAGCTGTGTTTTCTCAGAGAGATTTTAAGCTGGTGATACATGTCGAGCTGAGAAACAAAAATTCACACTCATGTTAATGTTACCCATTTACTCAAAAGTGCTGCGACAAAATATTTTGGGCTGCTCTGCTGTCTCTGGCCAGAGATAAAGTGCGTTTAAGGAAGAATATTCACTATTTCATTAAAAAATATTTTACCTCAAAATCCAGGCAGCAAAGAGTGCATATACTTAACACACAAATGGATCTTGTTTATGTGAGGGGTAGTCAATTTTCCACAAGTGAGGTGCAGAGAGTTTGCAAACAGATTGTAATCAAACAGATCATAATCGAACAAACACTATTTTTAAACAGCTTTACTATAGTCTATATACAATGAAAACATCACATTTAATACACACATTTTGATAAGTTTGACATATGCATATACTCATAATAATATCACCACATTCAAGGTAATAAATATATCCTTTGCTTTCGAAAGTTTCCTTGTGTCCCTTTGATAAAGCTGGTCCCCTAAGATGGGGTCTTTCCCTGTTCAGTGTCACAGAGCCAATACATGAAACCAAAAGTGAGTGTCAAGCAGTACAGGCTTTGTTTGATGGCCATAGAATTGAGAGGTGGAAGCATGGCCTACAAATCAACTTCAACGGGTGAGGGGTGAGGGAATTAAAATATAGGCTTTCTTTAATAAAGGGGTTGGACATTAAAGTGAGGGGAGGAATACTCATGCTTTTTCTGGCAATGGGAGGTGAGCTTTCTGGAAACAGAGTACTGCTTTCCTTTTTGTTCTTTAATGACTTCTTCTGGTCATTGTCATGGTGATTATCAACACTATGGCAATGGTGGGAGAGTCATTTAGCATGAAAATGAGATTATATGAAGCCTGAGGTCTTTTTGAAGTCATTTGGTTGGCTTTCTTGGTTCTTACCAGTCTCAGCTGGTCTGGTTACTAAGGGAACTTTTTATCACCAGTGCCCTGGTTTTTAAAAATAAGCAGAGTTAGGACAGGATAGAAATTCAGCTATGGCATGTTGGCATTATACCAGGTAACTCCTTTATGTTTGCTTTATTTGTTTTATCCTTGGTTTTGTTTTGGTTTTGTGGTGAGAACATTTAACATGAGATCTGTCCTCTTAAAATTTTTTAAGTGCACAATACCATAATGTAAGCACTATGATGTATAGCAAATATCAAGAACTTTTTTATCTTGCAAAGTTGAAACATTATACCCATTGAGCAACATCTCTACTCTGAACCTCTGGCAACCACCATTCTATTCTCTGCTTCTATGAATCTGACTATTTTAGATACTTCATGTAACTGGAATCATCTAGTATTTGTCCACCTGTAGCCTGCTCATTTCACTTAAAATTATGTCCTCCAGCTGTATACATGTTGTTGCAAATGGTGAGATTTCTTCCTTTTTGAGGGCTGAGTAGTATTCCATTGTATGTATATAACACATTTTCTTTACTATTTATCTGTTGATGCACATTTTGTTTGTTTCCATATCGTGGCTACTCTGAATAATGCTGCAATGGATGTAAGAGTACATTTATCTCTTCAAGGTCATGAATCAATCCTTTTGGGTGAATATCCAAAAGTGGGCTTGCTGGATCATATGGTGGTTCTATTTTTAATTTTTTGAAGAACCTCCATAATGACTGCACCATTTTACGTTCCCACCAACAGTGTAGAAGGGTTCCAATTTCTCTGATATTCAAGGACATATATTTTTATTAAACTAATAACCATCCTAACAGGTAAATGCATGCTATTGTATAAGGCTGAATATAATGAAGTTAATAATTAGAGTAAAAATGATAGCTATACTTTGTTGAGCAGTTACTATACGCAAGAAGTTGTGCTAAGCATTTTACAAGCCTATAATATT
The DNA here is from genome assembly GCF_000001405.40 of Homo sapiens. Taxonomy (NCBI): domain Eukaryota; kingdom Metazoa; phylum Chordata; class Mammalia; order Primates; family Hominidae; genus Homo; species Homo sapiens. The sequence continues at coordinate 41,936,515 of NC_000011.10, forward strand.
GAATTCTATGAACAATCTTATGCAGAAGGTCCTAGTATTCTAATTTTCTAAATGAGGAAATTGGGACTTATAAAGGTGTAATAACTTGCCCAAGGTCCTGGGGCAAGTAAGTGGGGGATTTAAAATAAAAACAAAGCATGACAGTATGGCCTTTTTCCAGAGGTCCAGCTCTTAAACATTGCTATTTTATTCTATTACATGCAGTCCCATGAGTAAAAAGTTCATGGCCTGAGTAGAAACGAGCCCAACCTGGGAGGAAGAAGACTTAGGTTCTAGTCGCAACACTTTCCAACTAATATTTGAGTCACTTCGGTCACTTTCAGCTCCTGTTCTCCCATCTGCAGTGGGCGATAAAGATAAGAAAAGAATCTTGGTTTGTTTCTTTGATTTTCTTCAAGGCAGGTTGGCTCACTTTTTTCAGGAAATCTCAATTTTTTAAGTCTATGTTACTGTGATACATGGAATATCCGTATTCAGAATGTGATATTCTTACCAGGTATCAGCTACTTATAAAAAAAATCAAAAATAAAGTGATGAAAAATAATATTGATCTATGATTGATTACTTTAAGGATAATCTATAAATCTTTTATTTATTTCAAATATTTTTCATAGATAAAATCAGGCTATGAGACAAGTTTAAATTTAAGCATGTTTTTCACCTTGTAGAATTATAATATGCCTTAGCTTTCATTTAGAAATAGTCATACAACTTTTTAGAATACAATTATACATAGGTTATAGGAATTTTGTTGAAAATATTCACTTCATCACTAAAGTTCTAGTTTGAGTAGCCAATGGACAAATTTGTCTTTGACCTTAACTCACAAAAAAGCTTTGCTGTTGCTAAGCAACCAATGCATGTTGATCATATAGGTGAGGAATTCATAAACTTCAGCCCTCAGGACCAAATGATACACAGCCATGCCCATTTGCTTATTTTCTATAGCTGTTTTCACTCTACAAAAATAGGACTGAGCAGTTGTGACAGAATGGCCCACAAAGCTGAAAATTTCTACCTCTTAGCCTTTTATGAAAAATGTTTGCTCTTCTGCTTTGGGCATCCCAAAAGATGATGCTTCTCACCCTTTGTCTTTAGATGGTCATGTTGCTAACTTTGGCTAACTAAACATGAACAGATATTATGGGTACACGTAGGAGCCAGTCACTGATTCTGATTCTCCATTTTCTTGGTTTTTTTTTTTTTTTTTTGATGGAGTCTCACTCTGTCGCCCAGGCTGGAGTGCAGTGGCGCGATCTCGGCTCACTGCAAGCTCCGCTTCCTGGGTTCACACCATTCTCCTGCCTCAGCCTCCCAAGTAACTGGGACTACAGGTGTCTGCCACCACGCCCGGCTAATTTCTTTGTATTTTTAGTAGAGACGGGGTTTCAGTGTGTTAGCCAGGATGGACACGATCTCCTGACCTTGTAATCCACCTGCCTTGGCCTCCCAAAGTGCTGGGATTTCAGGCGTGAGCCACCGTGCCTGGATGATTCTCCATTTTCCCTGTCTTTGACATGTCACAGGACTTTCCAGATAGAGGAGACTTCATCATCCCAGCTCATTGAATGTGGGCCACCCAGAAGCTACCACCCTAACTACCTCACATGGTCATGGAGTCTGGGTGTGAAATGAACCTTTGGCATTTTTACCCACTGAGACGTGGTGGATGCCATCCAGCCTGGGCTAACTGATGCATGTAGCAAATTTTCCCAAATTAATTTTGCAGTAAGGCAGATTTTAAATAATGATACGAATAGACTTTTGGGGGTCTTCAATATTTTGAGGATCATGTCTCCCTTTGAAAATTTAATCAAAGCTAAAACTTTCTCCAAAGAGGAAATAATATATATATATACACATATATATATATATATATATGTATGTGTGTGTGTGTGTGTGTGTGTGTATGTGTGTGTGTGTGTGTGTCTACATACAAAACTATACAAACAATTCCAGGAGGTTTTAGACTTTTTTATGCCAATGTATAGGTCCTAGGGTATGAACTAGCATTGTGGAAAGAGCCTTGGGTTTGGAGTTCAAATAAACAAAGATGGTTTCAAATCCTGATTCTGCCACTAACATTGCTTGTCTAACTTATGTAAAATGTAGGCTTTGATTCCTTTCTCTGTAAAAGGTGATATTAATATCTACCTTGCTTTGAAACTGGGAAGTACAAAGGTAATGGTGTGCAATTGTCTATCACAGTGTTTAACATAGTATGTGGTCAATATATGCTTGTTCCCTACATCCTGTAATAATAGTGACAGCAATACAGTGAGATGATCTCAGGTTAAACCAAATCCAAGCTGGCATAAGGATAATGAGATAAAAATGTTCTCATTTGTGAAATAATGGTTTAGATCTGATGAAGTATATTATTCTTCTTGGCTCTACAATTCTTACTATCATTAGACAAAGGCCCCTTTAAAAGCAGATAGGTATTATTGGAATAACTCAATAAAGCAGCTTTGCCTCATTGATTTTAGACTTGGAAGTTCAGCTACTGCAGAAATGTATTTTCTATAGTATATGTGTATGTAGTCTTAGATTTAAAATAGAAGGTTGAACTCAAAGCTTTACCCTTTGAGAAATTTTAATATCATGTCATCATGTAAAACAAAGCTTTCATGGCAAAATCCATTGGAAAAGCATAATGTGTGAGTTTTAGGGTCCCTGCCTATCTTTAGATAGATAGATAGACAGATAGATACAGATACACACACGCACACACACACACACACACACATATATATATAGAGAGAAAGACAGAGAGAGAGATTTCAGAAGTTATTAAAATAATCATATAATCATAGATGGTTGGACATGGACAATACCTGTTTATCTAGCCTTCAACATTGTTAAACTACAGGTGAGAAAAACAAAGTCTAGCAATATTAAGTGATTTAACCAGAGAGAGTAACCTATGAATAAAAAGTGAGGTTAGAAACAGGACCTTAAAATTGAAGCATCCTATTGCTCTTTTGAAATGCCCCTCCATTATAATATATTAAATTATCAGACCAAGATAGTTCAGTATAATCCATATTCCAAGAGACTGTTGGAAGCATCTACTAGAAACCCACTAGGTTTCATTAAACACAAATGGCAAGGAAATTTTAGAGACGTTATAGACAATATGCTGCTCCCATACTGCCTCCTTTCTTACTGATTCCTGAGCCCAGAATGTAAAAGCAGGCTGGATGTTCTTATACAGATGCCTTCTTTCTGAAGACCATCATTTTGCCTGGTACAGGAGCTCTTAGTGAGACATTAGGAAAGACATACCTGATTTTTAAGATCACGTAGGACCGTGTACTTATTATTAGCTTACCATCACTTTAGAAACCTGTTCAGTGTGACCAATGCTTACATTTATGCAAACAGAGAGAGAGAGAGAGAGACAGCATGTGTGTGTTGGAGAGAGAGACAGAGCAGGGAGAGAAAAAGAGACAGAGAATGAAAAGACAAAGAGAAAAATCCAAGCCCAGGAGAACTTGTACTGAAAAATCTGAGAATTTTCACCCTGATGATCATAACTGCCATATCACCTTAACCTCTTTTGTTGATAATTGATAAGTAATAATATTAATAATTTAGCACTGACATAAACACATTATATGTACTATTTCTTTTAATTTCTAAAACACTTTTGAAATTTTTAGTTATGCATGTATTTAATTATTGTGAATATTTGGTTTTATAAATATTGTTAAGGTGGCCAGACAATATGGTACATGAGATGAAAAATGTTTCCCTTTTATTTCCACCAATGGTATCCTCAACATATTTCACAGAAACTGGCCAAACAATAAATATTGGTGTTTAATAAATACTTATGAAATAAATTTAATAATCTCTCCTATAAAGTAGATATTGTGATTATTTCTATTTTGGGGATGAAGGAATGGAATCTTAAAGAGTGTCTTAATCTTTTATACTTCAAGTCTTTATGATAACACTTTTCTCTGAGTTCTTCCTGTTCTGAATGTCTACATAGTAAATGAAATTAATGCTCACAGTTATTGCTTAGTGGAGACATCATTGCTTTCTTTCTACGGAATTTTACTTAGAAAGAGAGAGCTTTTCATGTTCCAAAACATCTTTACAATGAGAACTACGGAATGTTGTTCAAAGAAATCAGAGATTACACAAAGAAATGGAAAAACATTGCATGTTCATTAAGAGAAACAATCAGTATTGCTAAAATGACCATACTGGCCAAAGCAATTTATAGATTCAATGCTATTCCTATCAAACTACCAATGACATTCTTCATAGAACTAGAAAACAACTATTTTAAAAATCATATGGAACAAAAAAGGAGCCCAAATCTCCAAGGCAGTCATAAGAAAAAAGAACAATACCTGACTTCAAACTATACTACAAGGCTGCAGTAACCAAAACAGCATGGTACTGGTACAAAAACAGACACATAGACCAATGGAACAAAATAGAGAGCCCAGAAATAAGGCCACACACCTACAACCATCTGATATTTGACAAAGCTGACAAAAACAAGCAATGGGAAAAGGATTCCCTATTCAATAAATGGTACTGGGATAACTGGCTAGTCATATGCAGAAGATTAAAACTAGACCCCTTCTTTATACCATATACAAAAATCAACTCTAGAAAAATTAAAGCCTTAAATATAAAACCTAACACTAAAAATCCTAGAAGATAATCTAGGCAATACCCTTAAACTATAAAGAATTTCTGCATAGCAAGAGAAACAATCAACAGAGTAAATATACAACCTACAGAATGGTAGAAAACATTTACAAACTATGCATCTGACAAAGGTCTAATATTCAGACTCTGTAAGGAACTTAAATTTTCAAGCAAAAAAACAACCCCATTAAAAAGTGGGCAAAGGACATAAACAGAAACTTTTTAAAAGAAACATAATGTGCAGCCAACAAGCATGTGAAAAAAAGCTCAACAGCATTGATTGAGAGTAATGCAAATGAAAACCACAATGGGATACCATCTCTCACCAATCAGAATGGCTATTGCTATTATTAAAAAGTTAAAAAAAAAAGACAGATGCTGGTTGAGGTTGTAGAGACAAGGGAACACTTATACACTGTTGGTGGGAGGATAAATTAATTCAACCATCATGGAAAGCAGTGTGGCGATTCCTCAAAGACTGAAAAACAGAACTACCATTTGAACCAGCAATCCCACTACTGGGTATACACCCAGAGGAATATATATCATTCTATTATAAAGACATGCACACTTAACGTTAATTGCAGCACTATTCACAATTGCAAAAACATGGAAACAACCCAAATGACCATCAATGGTAGACAGGATAAAGAAAATGGGGTACGTATACACCATGTATTACTATGCGGTCATAAAAAGAATGAGATCATGTCTTTTGCAGGAACATGCATGAAGCTAGAAACCATTATCTTTGGCAAGCTATAATAATGCGCGAATACAAAACCAAGTACCACATGTTCTCACTTATAAGTGGGAGCTAAATGATGAGAACACATGGACACATGGAGGGGAACAACAGACACTGGGGGTCCATCTGAGAGTGAAGGGTCGGCGGGGGGAGAGAGATGATCAGGAAAAATAACTATGCTACTAGGATTAACACCTGGGTGACAAAGTAATCTGGACAACAAAACTCTGTGACACACGTTTACCTATGTAACAATCCTGCACATGTACCCCAGAACTTAAAATGAAAAATTTAAAAGCGAGACACCCACTATGCCATTTCTATGCCTCTTTACTCTCTACAATATCCATGTCACTCTTGAATGCATGGAATTCTTTTAAAGGGTGATATTTTCCCACCAAATAAATGCTCCAAGTGGCCATTTCCGCTCTGGGTTCCAATGCCACTCAGTTCCACTCCCACTCCCATGACACCATCCTAAAACAGTGACACTCTTTTTGCCTTTCTCATATCAGGGAGTAATTTCATTCTCCCCACTTGTGTCTAAAACATTTTGTCTATATCCTGAATCCTCTCCTCTCTCTGCTACTTGGCTTTTAAAAATCAAATGCGGCCGGGCACGGTGGCTCACGCCTGTAATCCCAGCACTTTGGGAGGCCGAGATGGGCGGATCACGAGGTCAGGAGATCGAGACCATCCTGGCTGACATGGTGAAACCCCATCTCTACTAAAAATACAAAAAAATTAGCCGGCGTGGTGGCGGGCGCCTGTAGTCCCAGCTACTCCGGAGGCTGAGGCAGGAGAATGGCATGAACATGGGAGGTGGAGCTTGCAGTGAGCCAAGATCGCACCACTCCTGCCTGGGCAACAGAGTGAGACTCCATCTCAAAAAAAAAAAAAATCAAATGCAAATTGTTATGCTTTCAAGCACTGCAGCCACCTTGACTGAGGAAAAAACTACAGGAGGTAGTCTCCGCTGGAATAGAGGTTAAGGAAAGAGAAATTCAGGAAGAGAAAAACAAACAAACATGAGTTGCTATCTCAAAACATTATGCTATTGTCATTGTCATTATCATTATACTCATCCTCCTCATTACAATTGTTAATACTGACTTGATCACTGGAGTCCCTGTTAACACAATTCCAGAATCCTCAGTCCAGAGCAGGTATTTTAGAAATACTACCAATTCGTTACAGCACAAATTGCACGATTTTGGAACTCAGATGTGAGATCAAGTCCCTACCCCAATACTCACTATTCTTGAATACTTATCCTTGGGTATCTAAGCTATGTGTGAGTTTCTTCATCTGTAAAATGGGGTTTATCAGTTTTGTGATAGAAAGAAAATCATACATGTAAAGCACTTAACACAATATTAATGATTATTTAATAAAGGTTGAATAGCTTTTTGTTAGAAAGGAAAAAATTGCTCCCATTTTCCTGCAATCTTCTAATTTCTAAGAGTTCCCTCTGCAGGAAGGCTCTGGTTCCCGAAGCTGGAATGTCTTCTTCATCTGGTTATTTGTTGTTCATACTTCTTTAAAGCAGCTGCAGACAATGCCCTATTGCCTTATGTAGAATAATCTGCCTCTTGCTGGAAACCTTGGTTAGTATATGACACACACTCCAGGGTCAGTAATTAATTATAAAAACAGCAAAACTCAGGAAACCCACTGGCAAGAGGTGCCCCAGCAAAACGGTAATTTGTACGCCACTGCTGGGGAAATGCGGACAGTAAGCCCAACAGACACTTCCTTTCCCTTTGGCTTAGAGCACTTGGCATTCACTTATGAGGCCGTTGGGTTCAATTAGACCTCTGCCTAACAAGCTGTCAGTCACCATCAAGGCACCTCCCAGAGACATGTCAGAGCAGCCTCCTTCTGTCACTTCAATCTTGTTCTGGAAACCTGTGAGCAGGATTTCAAGGAGTTGACTTGGTGCATATTGCATAACCCTCTGCTTTCCTCCCTTTCTTCCCACCACTGTTTTTCCAGAGGCTTCTGCCATTGCAGGCTGGGCATGCAGGAGAGCTAAGCGGTGCCAGGATTACCAGTCCTGGGGGAGTGCCCATCTAGGTGAACCTTGACAGGGACAATGTTCTGGTAGGATGCAGCAGCAGCCTGATCAGAGTAAGCAGCCCCAGGCCATGGCTTTCCTAAGGATTTGTATTAACCCAGCAACTATGAAAAAAAGGAGTGGGCACTAATTGTGAAGAGCAAATAAAAGTCCTGACAAGTGTTTCATGGGCAATAGCCTAGCTGCTAAGAGATTGCCTGTACTCTCACCACTATTTAAAGCAGCTGCACTTACTTTTTTTCTCATCAGACACACCTGACAGATGACATTTGCATGTATGGCACTCATTTGCAATTTCCCGAATTAGCTCAAACACCACTTCTTCTCCAACCACTCAAGAAAATGTATCTGAATGTAAATGAGGGAAAGAGAGGTTATTATAGAGATAACCTTGAATCTGCTTTCTTTAAAACAATGCAGGATATTCACAAACTTTCCCATTCTGGTTATTAGCTGTAACAAATTATTTGGATCTACCTCACAGTAGATCAAGGCATACTATTGTGTCATGATGTGGTAGCTGAGAACTTGGTTGGGTTTTTAATGTTGCAAGGCAAGTAAACAGGTTCTTCTTCTTTATCTCCAATTCGGTATACTGCTGCCGAGTGAGGATCATGCAGTGGGAATCATGCTGGGGATGCCTATGCCCCCAAGCTTATCAGACACCACCATAACTCTGTGATAGGCAGAACTATTCTTCTATGGAAGTACCTATTCATTTGGACCCAAATACCTAATTTTGTATCCGATTTATTTAATTCCTTGTCTTTAAACAAATTGTTTACCTTGAACTTACGACACTCAGTTTTCTCATCTGGAGAAGAGAGATATGCTTAGTTCAGACTTGGTATGGATATTAAGTCATAATTGCTAACTATATGCCAGGCACTAGATTAAGAATTCTATGTGAATTATCTTACTGTTGTCTATATGTCTGTTTTCTTTATACAGATGAGGTAATGGAGGCTTAAAGGCTTTATAAAAATGTGTGTGAGCCTGGATCCAAACCCATGCAACCTTACCCTAGAGTGATATGCTGAGTGAATTTACTATACTATCTCTATTTGTTTCAGTGAACAGTTGTTGGTTAGTCGCTAAAATTTAGCAGTAGTTTGTACTAATGGTAAGAGGATTTCAAGAAATAATTGAGCAAAAAAACTGGAGGTACTTCTTATAAAATCATGCATAAATGCACATAAATTATTATTGCATTTTATGTACTAATTAAGGAATTATAGAATTTCAGTATTGGAAAAATCTTTGGGAAACTTGTATTTCGGTGATTTAAAACTGGCACGTCAGTAAGGTTCACTTTTAGCTTTTAAAGAATGCTAAATTTTTAGAGTATTGTCTACCAAAATTGAACGCATTAAGTGGAACTCACTTATCTAATTTTTAAAAATTATTTGTGTATATATATATATATTTATATACATTCATATAGTAACTCATAATGTCTAAGTTTTAACTAAGTACATATAAGTGTCTTTCAAGCTGATCAATAGGAGACCAAGGTTTTCTTTAATTCTTTTTCTTTAAGTCTCAACTTAAACAAATTGTTTCAAAAAGGTTTTGTCTGACTTTTAAGCTAGGTTTGTCCTCCTGTTATGCTGTATTTTATTTATTTTAACTCTTATCACCCATGACTCTTCTTTTTTTATCTATTTGTACTCAGTGTTAGATGCAAGTGCCTTAAGAGTGGGGCTGTGTATAAATTGTATTCCAAGGAATCTATGTAATCCAATGGCATTTGTAAAAGCCAAAAGGACTTCCTTTTGGGAACATCTGTCCATTTCCTCCTTCTTTCTCACTTCATTTAAAAATATAGTAACAATAAGTTCTCCAAGATCAAGATGGAATAAACAAAGGCATCATTGTACCTTCCATGGTTTGAAGACGTTATTCTCACCACCAAATTATTGTATATCCCACTCTTCTAAACTTGGATTTATCCAAGACTAGTTCAAACATCATCTCGTTTCTTACTCTCCCAGACAGACTTAGAATCTCTTCCTGGTCTCCACAACTCTTTAATGCCTCTTTCAAACCTAGTCCTGAGGGCTGCGGAAGTCATCATGCTTTTTGAACCATAGCAAACAGAGAGGGATGGATCACCTCTGTCTTTCTTTTTTATTTTTATTTTTTCCAATCTGCTTTCCCAGTCCATCAGTAACTCTTTTTGGAGGGCAAATGGGAGTTGCAATGTGGAATGCTGTGTAGAACTGGAGTTACGGCTTTTGAGAAGAGGAACTGAGAATCTATGTTTAACTTCTCTCTGTCTTCAATCTCAACTAAAAAGGTAGACATTGCTGCTACAACATAAGGTCTTACAGCCTCAGAAATACTAAGGTGGCTCAAAATCACTGCATTCAGCTATCTTTTCTGGTAAGCTTATATGGAAAAACTCTTTCAGGAAAGGGGAAGAGAACTAGAAAAGCACTATAGCTATACATATACTTTTGATCATAGAATGACTCACACACTCTTCAGGAATGGACTTCCTGACTGAAGGTGCAAAGCCAGGCGAAAGGTGCATGCAGTGGAAAGGGACAATTGAACTCTTGGGAAACATAGTATGTCATGGATTAAGCCCTTATTCTATGACAGATATGTGGATCGATAATACTTACACATGTCACAGTTCAGGGAAGTAGGAATTGTTGTTTCTTCTTTGACAGATGAGAAAATAATAACAACAATGATAGCAACAAAACAGTGAACATGTACTGAGCACTTTTTGAGACTCTTTTCTAACTGGGTCCTATGTATTAAGTTTCCATACATGGACTAATTTACTTACCACAGTAACTAGTGAGATAGGTGCTATTGTTGCCTGAATTTTATAAATGAGGAAACCACAAGGTTAAACTACAAAGTCACACAATTGGTAAGAAGAACTGGAATTTGAACTCAATACTCCACTTGTAGAATCCATGTTTGGGAAACTGAGCCTCAGAGATGTTGTACAATATGCACAAAATTATCTTTCTTGTCTTGATTTCTGGGTCCAGAGTCTAGATATGTTTAACTATAGTCTTATTCATTTTGTTATTGGTGTTTGTTTTGTTGAGGAGACACTCGTCATCCTAGTGAAACAGAAAAGGTTCCCTTGTCCCCCTCACAGGGCATGTGATGGGGTGTCGCTCGCTTCTTCAGCACCCTGCTGCTCAAATCTCTAGGGGAGCATACAGACAGGCAAGGCTGTGGGGCTTCGATGCCATGGCAGTGTCTAGGGGTGCATGTTTACAACTGACGTCCCAGTGGGCAGGTGTTACAGGGTGCTCTTTTAGTTTGCCGTCTATAGGCAGCTTGTGTTAACCAGCTCAATTAGACACCCTTCCTTATTAGGAGGACAGAGGGATTTCTGTATTCCAGGGTTTCTTGCCTTGGTGTACCAGAAGAATCAGATCACACGTGGGCTTGGAGAATGAGTGCAAGGTTTTATTGAGTGGAAGTAGCTCTCAACAGATGAGGCAGCCAGAAGGGAGATGGTTTTCCCCTGGAGTCCGGCCACCCAGCGGCCATTCCTCTTCAACTGCTCTGCCAAACTCTGCGTCGTTCAGCCAGCTGATGGCCTGCTGGCCTGCGGGTGCCTGTCGGCATGCTCTTCAGTTAATGTGTTCCTCATGACGTCCAGCCGCTTCTGTGTATGCCTGCTAGGGTCTCGGGTTTCTAAAGGCACAACATGGGGGCGTGGCAGGCCAGGGTGGTCTTGGAAAATGTAACATTTGGGCGGTAAGGCAGGAGTGCCTGTCCTCACCTAGGTCCATGGGGGTGCAGACCTAGCCCGGGACCAGACCCTCTCTACCCAGCATTCCCCTGTCCCCGCTTCTGTATCATTTAAAGGGACCACGCTCTTTCCTTCCCAGCACTCCCGTATCGCTAGCTATTATTCGAAGAAAACATGTGCGGCCAGAAAGAGAAATGAAATTAAACAGTTTTAATTTATATTATTTAAGAGCAAAATTGGCCTGAACTGCCAGGATAACAAACTGAAGTTCACATTTTCCTTAGAACCCTCTATAACCTTAATTATGCGTTTCCTCTCACTCTTTGATCAAAGGCCATAATCAGGAACAAGCTAAAATGTAGTTGTCCCATGCTTCCCAGAGTTCTGTCTCAGCACACTCAAAGCCTCCATTTCTTCTGCGTTCAAGGAACCCACGTTAAATAAAGTTTATTTTACATGCTGCCCATTCTCATTGCCTGCTGTTCCCAAGTAAGTTTCTTATGATAGAAATAAGCCCACTGGATTAACAGGAGAGCAGCTTCAGGGACCCTGACATTTCATCAAGGAATGACAATTTTTCGGTTTTGCTTTTGGAGTGCTATTTTCCCATAGACAAAAATAAACAGAAGAAAGAGGTGCTTTCCTGAAAGATGCCAGATGAGCACTTTCATTTCCAGCCCTTTGTTTAGACAAGACAAATCCGATTCAGCTTACTTTTGTTGAGTGACACTAAGTTGCCTTTTGGAAACTTTTGCAGTCTTAATTATCTGCAATCAAATAATGCCACCTTTTCAGAAACACTGGCCAGAGGACACACAAACGTGTGATCAACACTCACATGGGGACCATTCAGATTCCTTTGTAGGAGTCCCTTGCCATTCTTCCTTAGAGGAAAATGCTTGAATACTCTGAATGCAAAAGATAGCTCAGAGTTTGCCATATTTCCTCTTATAATGGTGATTACATTCCACTTCGTTGTTGTGTTTACCTAAGCTTAAAAATGTGCTAAATGAATTAAAATCATCTGAGATACTTACCATCCAAATGACTTGGAGTCCTGTAAGTCAAATCCAATATGATTAATCAATTAATTATTAGTAAAGACTCTTTGTGGGTAGATGGGTTTTTAATTTTTTTTTCTCTAGCTTTCAAGGACATTAAGTAACTTACATCAGGTTCTAATTGAAATGTTAGCCAGTTGATCATACAGGTAAAACAGGTTAATTATCAGATAGTAGCTGAATAACTACCTAGCAATTGCCATCTTAGATTAGTTATAATTATTTTGGCCCTCTTCACCAAAACACAGATTGTCCTTGATAATTACTTACAGATTCACTGAGCATTATTAAGAGGGGGACTGTTAAAGGTTGAAAACAAATGGTAATTATAGTCTAAAATCAAAAGAAATAAAATAAGGTCCACATAGCTCTCCTCAAATTTAGTGAGGTCTTTGCTTGGACATATTGCATTTTGTTATATTTTACATAGCATGTGGGAAAATACTGAAAGCCAATAGGACCTTGAGTTGATTATTTACATTCAGTGGTTCCTCTGAGAAAGAATAAGGAGGAAAGAAAGAAAAGCAGAGAAGGACAGATGTAGGACAGAGTAGAAAAAAGGGGGGCAGGGAAGAAGAGAGATGATAAGTACTGATCGCAGGAAAGTTGGTAATATGGAATTCAAAGGATAGAAGAAAGTGTTATTAAAAAATAGTAAAAAAGACAAAATAGTCTAGTAGGCTGAATGTTCACATCCTAATCCCTGGAGCCTATGAATGTTGTCTTATGGCTGAAAAGGACTTTGCAGAAATGATTATGTTAAGGATCTTGAGATGGGGAGAATATCCTTGAGTAACTGGGTGGACCCGAAATGCAATCCCATGTATCTTTATGAGTGAGAGGCAGATAGAGATTTGACACAGACAGAGGAGGGAGGGGTGTTGTAATCATGGAGGCAGAGATGAGAATAATGTATCCACAAGCCAAGGAAGGCCATCATTCTAGAGGCTCTGAGGAAGCACAGCCCTATCTAAGCTTTGATTTTGTCTTAGTGATATTAATTCTGGCCTTTTGGCCTGGGGAACTCTAAGGGAATGAATTTGCGGTGTTGTACACCATTAAGTATGTGGTAATTTGTTACAGCCACCATGAAATGCTAACATAGTCATTTAGCCATTCACAATTTTAATTTATTGCCTATTTTTGCCAGGGGCTGCTCTGAACACCAGGAAAAGAGAGAGAAGGGGGCTAAGTGAGGAGAAAAATGAGCAAAACAACAATAAGATTATTTCAGATAGCAATAGGTTCTATGAAATATATGAACAGAGAAATCAGAAATAACACGAGAGGGGGGAAGGGGCATGAGGTTGGGTCAGTGAAGGCTTTCCTAAGAGGGGGTTATTTGAGCCAATTATGTGAGGATATAGTATTTACTAACTTTTTTGAAATCATCACCACTTTTTAGTCTCAAAATAACCTTTGAAGATGAGAGTTATCCACATTGGAATAAGAAATAAGTCTTAGAGGACCAAAATATCTGACCAAAGATTACAGTGTTGTGAGTGGTAAAACTGGGGTTCAAGTTCAGGTTGGTCTATGCTAAAACTTAAACTCTTTGCAGGTGAGGTGCAGATAGAACAAACCATTGCACAGCATGGATTAAACTGCCACAGAAAGTTTTTTCAATTATTTCTAGTGAAGATATTGCGTTTTCTATTTAGACTGACATTATTTGACACATCATGTTGCCCAGGTCATAATGCATGAAGTGCTTGAGGTCATCAACAGCCATCAGTTTAGACAGGAGGCTTCAAGATTTTAAGAGCAAAACCTGCTCCTCCTGGATAAATGAGATTTCAATTTGACTTTTACCACCCCAAAGATTCACCTTCTTTCCCCTCAGTTTGACTCAGCTAAGAGAGTCAAAGAATCTCCCCTAAAAATCTCCCTGACATGTAAGTGAAACTATCATATGCAGATGAATGTGGCAGGCAGGTCAATGCCCTAGAGTGAACAGAGAAAAATGAGTTCTGCTGAAGGCCTGAGGAATCCTAATTTAATATTTACGGCCTTTGGCTTGATTGGGCTATGGCAAAAGAGAAGATTCTGCTCTGTTGTGTCAGTTTTCAGACCCCAGGGAATGACTGGCTGCCAGGCGAAGACCTGACTGACTTGTAACCAGCAGGCAACAGCCACAGCACAGCGCTCACACAGTGATTGTTTAATGGTAGAGCCAAGCTGGCTACAGAGACTCCTGGGGGAAGCCTACAAGCCTGTCAGTGCTTGTCAGTGTCGCTGTGACAACTAAATGCTCAGGAAGGAGCTGCAGAAAAGAAGAGTAGTAGATAACAAGGCCACCTTGAGAAGTCCTATGCTTTGAGCACCTAGGAAATACCACAAAGGAAGCGGGATGATGTGCTTCGCATTCCCAGCATTTCCCCTAAGAATATGTTTCTATACCGCATATGAAACATGTACACCTCCCAAAAAGTCCTGCCATAGTTATGGAAAGGTTTTAGAAAATGAGATTTTTATTATAGACTATGTTCCTTTTAGAAAAGTAAAAACAGGCCGGTCATGGTGACTCACGCTGGTAATCCCAGCTCTTTGGGAGGCTGAAGTGGCGGATCACGAGGTTGAATTTGAGAGCAGCCCAGCCAATATGGTGAAACCCCATCTCTACTAAAAATACAAAACTTAGCCGGGCGTGGTGGTGCACATCTATACTCCCAGCTACTCTGGAGGTTGAGGCAGAAGAATCGCTTGAACCTGGGAGGCGGAGGTTACAGTGACCAGAGATCGCACCACTGCACTCCAGCCTGGGTGACAGAGGGAGACTACAAGAAAAGTAAAAACAGTAACAATAGCAATGGCAAAACAATAGCTAGCATTCATTTTATAATTCCATGTGCCAGGCTCTGTTCTAAGGGCTTTAGGCATATGAACTCATTTAATTCTCATAACAGTCCCATGCAGTTGATAGTACCCTTATCTCATTCCATATATCAGCAGAATGAGAATGTGGCACACAGCTAAAAGAAAGGTGTCATTAACCTCAAAGGATTTAGCCAGGGATGAAGCCAGAGTGCATGATTACCTACACTGAGATGGAAAGTAGTTTTCAAGAAAGACTATGTGCATCAAGGCAAACTACCTGAATTGGAATCCTAGTTCAACAATATATTAGTTGGATAACCTTGAGAAAAAAAGTCTAATCTTTTTAAGACTCCATATTCTTATTCGTAATCATTGAGATAAGAATACTTTCTTTGCATAATTGTTGGGAAGGGCAATGAAATACCATAAGTAAAGCACTTAGAACAATTTGTGATAGATGGAAGGTTCTCCACAAATGATCGTTAAAGCATTTAATCAGAGGTGCCTAGGCAGAGTCGTTATCTAAGGCCAAACTTCTCTCAGTTTTGGTTTGCTTATTTCTTCTTTTTTTCTTTTTCTTTCCTGAGACAGAGTTTTGCTCTTGTTGCCCGGGCTGGAGTGCAATGGCGCCATCTCTGCTCTTTGCAACCTCCTCCTCCCGGATTCAAGCAATTATCCTGCCTCAGCTTCCCCAATAGCTGGGATTACAGGTGCACACCACCATGCCTGGCTAATTTTAATATTTTTAGTAGAGACGGGGTTTCACCATGTTGGCCGGGCTTGTCTCGAACTCCTGACCTCAGTTGATCAAACCTGCCTCCGTCTCCCAAAGTGCTGGTATTACAGGCGTGAGCCACCACGCCCAGCCTGCTCATTTCTAAAATGGAGGCATTAAAGCTTTCATTATAGACTCTGTAAAATAATTATACTTGATCATTTGTTTTTAAGCAATTTGTAAAAATACTAGGCCCTGATGATATGCTGGATAGCCTCCATGGTATTATTCTATTGTCTTTAAAATGGGAATAAAAAGTACTTGGTTGTGAGACTGGGGTTGTGGAGACTGGATGAGTAACATGGAGCAGAACTAGCACAGTGCCAGGTACATATTCTCTGCTGAATTTATGTCAGTTCTCATTTTACAATAATTGTGATTACTGAAGAATTGATGCCTAGCATGCATAGCTTAATCTCCATGAGATTTCTTTCTTTATTGTTGGTTTTTTTTTTCTTTTCCCAAAGAAGTATATAAGTGCACTAGCCATCAGTGAAACTACTGCCTTGTTAAAGATCTTCTTGCAACTGGACGTCAGTAAGGCAATATTTGGCAAAGCTTTAGCTATCTGGTCAATTTTCTCAGAGGGAAAAAGGAATGAGGCAGTCCATGGAGGACATTATTATGCAAGATTGTTAAACCTGCTCATCTTCTGACTTCTAGGAAGGAGCATGACAAGTCACAGCTGAAGAAAAAGATGCGTAGGGAGCAGGTGCTTATTTTTGTAAATAATTCATGGACCATCCCACTGCACAGCAGCTAATTTGAGGTAGTTGGGAGAAGATTACTTTGGATTGTTAAAAAAATACAAAAACACTCTCTTTCAGTTGACTGAGTCTGAAAAAATCTAGGTCATCCTGATATTCAGTTGAAAAAAGACATCCACCGTTAGTATACTTGCTACTTGCTGGGTTGATAATCCCCAGATGCAGTTTTAGAAAAATCAATAATCACATATAATAGTCTTTGGTAGCCCAACCTGCTCTTCAAAACCAGCTAATGAGCTGAGTGCCTGTGATGTGGATAAAGTTAGAAACAACTCATTACTGGGAGAGATCATGTTGAGAAGTCTTGGCCACTGGCTTTTTATGACAGCAGCTCCAGGGAATCTCTAAGCTTGCTGAAATGCTACATAATATATGAATCCATCAGTCCCCATCAAGGACTAATTAAACCAAGGAAGAACAAAATACCTGTGAACAAAAAGATGTCTTTTCATAAAACCAGGACCTCAGTTCTTCTACCTGAAGTGGCAACTCTGACTTTCCAAATACCATATTTGAGTAGGACTTGTGATGCAGCATAGCACAATTAAAGGAGATGTTATCTGTTGGCTGGTTGAAATGTAATAGTAAATGCAATAAAACTCCAATAGCATCCTTCTGTTTCAGTTCCCATATCCACATATCCATTTTAAAGAGGAATAAACCAGAGAGTTACAGGAGTTACTGGCCCAAATTCACACAGTTTGTGAATAACAGAGTGAAGACATGAATGAATAGGATCCCCATAATCAAAGCCCTGATGTTCTTTCCACTAGAGCAAATTTGCTAAATCCTTAGCGATCACTTCAGTCATATAGCTTATTTTACACATGTTCAGACACTGGCTCAAAGGATTTAAATGACTTCCCTAAGTTCCACAGGTTGTTAGAAAAGGGTTTCTTATAGACCTCAGACAATTGGTATTTTACAGGGTGGCCTCCACCAGTCTTCTTTGGAGACAGTTCTCCTTTCATTATTTGTACCAAACCACCTCCAACATACCAAGATTCCTTCTAAGACCATGAGTCATGTCAGATTCAGACATTTCACTATTCATGGGAACTAACAAAACTAATTCTAAGCTGGTGAGAGTACAACATAAATATTATGAACATTTCTAGCTACTACTTGATAAAATAAATTGGAGTGTGCCCAGGAGACTGCCAAGAATGGTGAGGGTGACTCAGAGAGTGACAACATGAGGACCAAGTTGAATGAATTAGGAAAAACCTCATTCTGGAGCAGACTTTTCAGAAACTGAGAAAGGAATTAATAGTGGTCTTTTCAAAGAAGGATTAAATATCATCCTTCATGTCTCTAATTTTTAGGAATCCATGAAGCAAGAACGTTTCAGAAAGATAAATTTGAACTCATTATAAGGAAAAATGTTCTAATGTCAGGATCATCTATACATACCTCAAGAGTAAGCAGAGAGGTACAGGAAATAAACCACTGAACCCAGAGAGAGGGATCAGCCACTAATGATTATGCAGCCATAAGCTGGTCATTTATCCTCTCTTGGCCTTGGTTTTCTTCTTTTGCAAAAGTGTGGTGTTGGAAAAGCTCTTTAGGGTCACTTCCTGGTCTAAAATTTTAATCATAAATATAATAATTAAGGTGTTTGCACAAAGGGCAGATTATGACATGTCAGAAGTATTATAGGGGATTTAACCATCAAATGCACCATGGAATTAAAATTAATTTAAGTTTTTTTATAACTCTGGAATTAAGTTGATATAACCCAAACCGAAACTAGATCCGTAACCCCTAC
The DNA here is from genome assembly GCF_000001405.40 of Homo sapiens. NCBI lineage: Eukaryota > Metazoa > Chordata > Mammalia > Primates > Hominidae > Homo > Homo sapiens. Next base: position 41,954,932 of record NC_000011.10, read on the forward strand.
TTTAATGAGATATTAACTAAAGCATAATTGACCATTTCATATTTATCATCTAAATCTTAACAGTTAAAATGTTTAATGAGAAAGGGGAAGGAAGAGGAAGAGAGCAGAAAGAATGGGAAATTTTGCTTTCTTTGAGCAGAATATTAGATGCAATTATATTCATGTGTTAATACGCTCTATTATTCTTGAGGCAGAGTCAATTAAGATAATGTGTGACACACAACATGTGACTTGGTAAGTAAAGACATAAAGAACAATTACAATTATATCAAACTGTTCTAGTGATGACATAATGAAAATCCTGCCGGGCATAGTCACCACAGTTTGTATCAATAAAATCCCAGCATGGGACACTGGATTCTACCACCAAAAATTCTGCAATTTCTGCATCTGGAACTTTCATATAGAGACCAGTTCTGCTGCTCTTTGTCTCTTACAGTGATTCTGTGTATTCTGATCTCTTTTGCCTTGCCAATTCTGATGTAAAGTCCAGGGAAGATATGTCTGACTGTGGGAATTAGATATACTCTTGTTTCTATTTGCCAGGGAGGCTGATAAAATAAGTCTCTGGCATTTTCAGTTTCTAAAATGAAGGAAAAGTTGTACTTCACAACAGTGGGCCTTAACTAAAAAGAGGAAGAGGGAAGTTTTGTAATATGGCTGAGTAGAAGAAGCTATTATGCATTGTTTTCATGGAGAGAAGAAAGATTGGCGAATAAACACTGGTCTTCAACTGAAACATCCAGATGGACACATTGAGGTTCATCAAGGAAACAACTGGACCCACGGAGAATGGACAGGGGTAAGACGGGATGGCTGCCCACCTGGGAGTGGCACAGAGCCAGGGGAGGCACCCTCACGCTGGGAAATGGTGAGAGTCCCTGGGGATCCATACTTCTGCCATGGACCTTTGCAACCCTGGCTCAGCAGACCCCCTGTGAGCCTCCCCACCGGGGCCTCTAGACTGACACAGAGAGCTACGTGGAGTCTGGGTACAGCTGCCGCTCAGGCATACATGGAGTCCTGGGAGCCTTGGATCCTTGGGCATCCCTGCATTAGCAACTGCAGCTCTGGCAATGGGGGAGGTCAAGCTCCTTCACAAGATCCCAGGAAAGGGTCTGAATCCAGGAGACAGAGCTGCAATAAAATGCAGGCCTCACCTGCACTGCATCTCACAGGACAAGGCCCATTGGCTTGGGGTGCTAGCGTGGCCACACTAGCCCTGTCTGGGCTCTGGGGCTGGTAGCCGGTCTGCACTTCCCTAGCAGGTAGTAGGTTTGCAGCTCCCAGAAGGAGCGGCAGGCCACAATTTTGCTATTTTGCAGCTCTAGCTCCTGTTGCCCTCAGGCTCTGGAGAGAGTGTGGTGATTAGGGAGTTGGGAGGATCTCCAGTACAAAGCTGTGGCCTCAAGGAAAAACAGCCAGACTATTTTCCACATGAGTCCCTGTTCCTGATTCTCCTCACTGGGTGGGGCCTCCCAACCTGGGACTTCACCACAGCTTCTGTGCCCCCATCTGAACACTTAGAGGCAGATCTGCATTTCTCCAAGGAGGAAAAACCAGAGGCAGCCCACAGCCCCTCCACCATTGCAGCTGCAGCAGTACCACCCTAAGCACCCTCAGACTGTGGAAGGAACAAAGAGCCTGGTCACTACACCTCCAGCACACCACAGTCATCATATGGTAAGGAGCCCAGTCTCTCTTTCCTTTGAGCTCTCCACTCCCCACTCTTTACCAGGCAGGGCCCCCTGGCTCAGGACCACAGAACAGCTGCCTGGTCCTCAGCTGAGCATACCTACTGGTAGTGGCTCTGTGTTTCTCTGGGGAGGGGCGCTCTCAGAGCAACTGAGAGCCCCTATGTCACTGCTGTCCTTGTTCTGGGGAAAAAACAAAGAGGCTGAGGGTTTCACCCTTGCTTTCAGCACACCACAGTCACCATACAGAGAAGAGCCCAGTCTTTCCTCCCTGTGAGCCCTAATGAAGCGGAGCCCCCAGCTCAGGCCAGCAGTACAACCATCCTCCCCACTGGCTGAACATTCCTAGTAGCAGCAGCCCCACATTTCTCTGAGCTACTATTCCCAGAGACAATCAAGAGCTCCTCTGCCACTGCCACTGCAGTGGTACTGCTCTTGCCACCCTCTGAATGAATAAGGAACACAGACCCTGAGTGCTTTAGCCTGACCTCCAGCAAGCTGCAGTTGCCCTGAGGAGAGGAGGCTAGTCTATCTCCTCCATGACCACCTAACCCTTCCTGCTCTCTACAAGGCAGGGCTCCCCCAGCTTGAGCCCACAGCACAGCTGCCCCACCCCAGGCAGATTGCACTGATTGATAGCAGCTCTGCATCTCTCTAGGGTGGAGTCCCAAGTGACAAGTGAAAGGCCCTCTGCCACAACCATTCCCAAGGTACCTTACTGTGCTGCTTCCAAGCTGCGGAAGGAATATAAAGCCTGAGCTCACCCCAGAGCTGTGGTGTGCAGCCTGAGAGTGCCAAGCTGATATCTGCAGCCAACACTCAAGTGGGAGAAGAGCCCACACTTTGAGACAACTGAGAAAAAGCACAGATGCAATTGTGAGGACATATAGAGGAGGCACGCGCCTGAGCAAGAGCCTACATAGGGGATATTATTCTATTATTCTTAAGTGCCATCTACTGGATTACAGCCTAAACTTCAACATCAAAAATACTTTGCTAATATAGCCCCCTGTGAAACCAAAGACAATAATTCAGCTGCAAATAAAGACCTTGAAGAAAGTCTTGGCCCTCTGAAAACATCCAGAAGTCTACTGACTTTCTTCAAATTACACTGCAGTTAAAGGAACATCAGCCAATACAGATGAGAAAGAATCAGTACAAGAACTTTGGCAACTCAAAAGGCCAGAGTGTCTTCTTTATTCCAAATGAATACACTAGTCTCCCAGCTTGGGTTCTTAACAAAGCTGAAATGAACGAAATGACAGAAATAGAATTCAGGATATGGATAGGTAAAAAAAGTCATCAAGATTCAGAACAAAGCTGAAACCTGATTCAAGGAATCTAAGAGTTACAATAAGACAATACTAGAGCTGATAGACAAAATGGCCATTATAAGAAAGAACCAAACTGATCTGAGAGAGTTGAAAAATAATCTACAAGAATTGCATAATGCAATTGCAATATTAACAGCAGACTAGAACAAACTGAGGAAAAACATATCAGAGCCTGGGACTGGTCCTCCAAACTAATTCAATCAGACAAAACTAAAGAAAGATGAATAAATAAGAATGAACAAAACCTCCAAGAAATATGGGATTATGTAAAGGCACCAAATTTATGACTCACTGACATCCCTGAAAGAGATGGGGAGAAAGCAAGCAACTTGGGAAACATATTTCAGGATATTGTTCATGAAAACTTCCCTAAGCTTGCTAGAGAGGCCAACATTCAAATTCTGGAAATGTAGAGAATCCCTATGAGATACTAAACAAGAAGAGAATCCCCAACACACATAATCATCAGCTTCTCCAAGGTTGAACTGACAGAAAAAATTGTTAAAGGCAGTTAGAGAAAAGAGGCAGGATACCTACAAAGGGAACCCCATTAGGAGAACAGCCAGAAGAAATCATGGGATACAGTCAGCGTTCTTAAGGAAAAGAACTTCCAACAAAGAATTTCATATCCAGCCAAACTAAGATTCATAAGTGAAGGAAAAATAAGATCCTTTTTAGAAAAGCAAATGCTCTGAGAACTCATTACAACCAGACCTATCTTACACAAGGTTCTGAAAAGAGTACTAAATATGGAAAGAAAAGACCTTTACCAGCCACTACAAAAACATAATTAAGTACACAGACCATTGACTCTTGAAAGAAACAACACAAACAAGTCTGCATAATAACCAGCTAAGACCATGATGACAGGATCAAATCCACACATACTGATATGAACCTTAGGTGGTGTTATGAGGCAAGCTTATAGCACTAAACTCCCACATAAAAAGGTTACAAAGATTTAAAATTAACATCCTAACTTCAGAAGTAGAGGAACTGGAGAAACAAAAGCAAACCAACTCTATAGCTAGCAGAAGACAAGAAATAACCAAAATCAGAACTGAACTGAAGGAAATTGAGATGCCAAAAAACATACAAACATCAATGATTCCAGGACTTGGTTCTTTGAAAAAAGTAATAAAATATATAGAGCACTAGCTAGACTAATAAAGAAAACAAGAGGGAAGATCCAAAACCAGCATCAGAAATGACAAAGGGGAAGTTACCAATGACCCCACAGAAAAAAAACAAAAACAAACAAAAAACCCTTAAAAAACACTATGAACACCTCTATACACAAGAACTAGAAAATCTAGAAGAAATGGTTAAACTCCTCGATACAAACAACCTCCCAAGACTGATCCAGGCATAAACTGAATTGCCAAAAAGAACAATAATGAATTCCAAAATTGAATCACTATCAGAAAGCCTACAACCAAAAACAAAAAAAAAAAATCCCCGGACCAGATATATATACATATCTATATCTATCTATCTATCTATCTATATATATATATATATACACACACACACACACATATATATATACATATATATATATGTATGTATATATATATACAACCGCATTCTGCCACATGTATCAAGAAGAGTTGGTACCATCCCTACTGAAATGATTCCAAAAAATCATGGCAGGGGAACACCTCCTTGAATTATTCTGTGAGGCTAGCCTCATCCTGATACCAAAACCTGGCATCAATACAACAAAAAAAGGGTAATACAACTTCAGGTCAATATCCTTGATGAGAATAGATGCAAAACTCCGCAACAAAATGCTAGCAAAATAAATCCAGCAGCACATGAAAAAGCTAATCCACCAAAATCAAGTAGGGTTTATCCTTAGGATGCAAGGTTGGTTCAATATACATAAATCAAAAAATGTGATCCACCATGTAAACAAAATAAAAAGCAAAAACAACAGATCATTTCAAGAGATGTAGAAAAGGCTTTCAATAAACTTCAACATCCTTTTGTGTTAAAGACTCTCAACAAACTACGCATTGAAGGAAAATTCTTCAAAATAATAAGAGCCATCTATGACAAACCCACAGCCAACATCATACTGAATGGGCAAAAGCTGTAAGCATTCCCCTTGAAAACCAAAACAAGATAAGGATGCCCTCTCTCACCACTCCTATTCAATATAGTATTAGAAAGTCCTGGCCAGAACAATCAGGCAAGAGAAAGAAATACAAGGCATCAGGCTGGGCACGGTGACTCATGCCTGTAATACCAGTGCTTTGGGAGGCCAAGATGGGCAGATCACTTGAGGTCAGGATTTTGAGACCAGCCTGGCCAACATGGCGAAACTCTGTCTCTACTAAAAATATAAAACTTAGCCGGGTGTGGTGGTACGTGTCTGTAGTCCCGAGCTACTCGGGAGGCTGGGGCAGGAGAATTGCTTGTACCTGGGAGGCGCAGTTTGCACGCCACTGCACTCTAGCCTGGGTGAAAGAGCAAGACTCCACTCAAAAACAAAAACAAAAAGAAATACAAGGCATCCTAACAGGAAGAAAGTCAAACTATCCCTGTTTGCAGATGATACGAATACATACCTAGAAAACCCCATAGTCTCTGCCCAAAAGTTCCTTGATTTGATAAACAACTTCAGCAAAGTTTCAAGAACTTTGCTTGGTTTAATAAACAACTTCAGCAAAGTTTCAAGAACTTCAGGAACAGATAACCAAATACCACATGTTCTCACTTATAGGTCAAAACTGAATAATGAAAACACATGGACACAAAGAGGGGAACAACAGACACCCTGGGCATACTTCAGGGTGGAGGGTGGGAAGAGGCAGAGAAACAAAAAACTACACATCAGATACTATGTCTATTACCTGGGCAATGAAACAACCTGTACCCCAAACCCCCATTGATCCGCAGTTTACCTACATAACAAACCTGCATAGGTACTCCTGAACTTAAAATAAAAGTTGGAAATTGAAAGAGGAATCGGATGTTAAACAACCAAAAAATGATGAATATGCATTGCAGCCAAAGAAAGTGAAAGTTTTAAGAAAAATGAAATGGTCAGTAGTGTCAAGTGTTGCAGAGGCCAAATGTGCAAGAACTGAGTTGATGCTTTTGAATTGTGCTAATAGAAAGTTATTAAAACCTTTTTTTTTTTTTTTTTTTTTTTTTTGAGACGGAGTCTCGCTCTGTCCCCCAGGCTGGAGTGCAGTGGCGCGATCTCGGCTCACTGCAACCTCTGCCTCCCGGGTTCATGCTATTCTCCTGCCTCAGCCTCCAGAGTAACTGGGACTACAGGCACTCCCCCACCATGCCTGGCTAATTTTTTTATGTTTTTAATAGAGACGGGGTTTCACCATGTTAGCCAGGATGGTCTGGGTCTCCTGACCTCGTGATCCGCCCACCTGGGCCTCCCAAAATGCTGGGATTACAGGTGTGAGACACCTTATTAAAACCTTTTATGAAGGTTGTTTCTGCAGAGTATTGGGATCAGAAGCTAGATGTTATGGGTAAGAAGTGGATGCAACCAGAGGAAGTATCATAAGTAGTAAATACATATTCTCCCTATTAATGAAATTCTAGAATGGTCAGATAAAAAATTTCATTTTCATCAACTCATAGGCCATTGGTGCTATTTCTCAGAGGTGATTACTATGCTCAGACTCTCTTGTGGGAAGAATCATTAATGGTGATGGACCTCAAATGCCTTAAATATTAGTAATTCATGCCACTGTATTGTACACTGATCAACTATACTTTGTGAGTTCTTATTTGATTCTAGTTGTATCTTCAAATTTGTAGCTTTCAGACCTCTCAATAATAGCTCATTCTCTCTGTAATAATATAAAACAAGAAAGAGGATTGCATGTCACGTAATTATAATTGGGAACTGCACGGAACATGGAACTGGCTACCCTTTTCTAAACCAGTATCATATGCTTCAAAATTTTTATTTCCTTTATTTTATGAGATAAGGTCTTACTCTGTCACCCAGGTTGGAGTGCAGTGGTGTAATCATAGCTTACTGTAATCTTTAATTCCTGGGCTCAAACAATCCTCCCATCTCAGTCTCCCAAGTAGCTAGGACTACAGGCTGCACCACCAAGTCTGGCTGTTTTTAAAATTTTTGTAGAGATGGGATCTCTGTGTTGTCCAAGATGGTCTTCAGCTCTTGGCCTCAAGTGATCCACCCAGTTCAGCCTCCCAAAGCTCTGTCATTTCATCTTTCAACTGACAAGTAAAAATTGTATATGTTTATGGTGTTGATCAAAACATGATGTTTATGTACATTTTGTGTAATGGCTAAATCAAGCTAATAAACATATGTATTACTTCATATACTTATTTTTGTGTGTGTGCATGGAAAGGACACTTAAAATCCACTCTCTTGGCAATTGTCAAGTATACAATATATTGTTATTAACTATAGTCACCATGGTGTACAATGGATCTCTTGACATTTTTTCTCCTAACTGAAATTTTGTATCCTTTGATCAACATTTCCCCAATTCCCCTATTCCTCAGTCTGTGGTATCCACCATTCTACTCTCTGATTCTGAATAATTTTGACTTTTGTAGATTCCACATTTAAGTGAGATTATTATTCATTTGTCTTTCTGTACCTGGTTTATTTCACATACCATAATGTCTTTTAGGTTCAACCACATTGTTGCAAATGACAGACGCTCTTTTTCCACCTCTTCTACCACTAATACCATCTCTGCATACCTTAGCATCATGAAGTAGTTTCAGAATGTTTGTTTACGTGTTCTCTTTCTATTTCTTTCATTCTTTAAGTAAACTGTTTTCTTATTTTCTTTCCACTTCTTCAGTTAAGACATTGAAGTTTACTCTCAATAGTTGTTCCGATATTATTCCCTTTGCTTCTTACTCTAGAACCAGAGGTGAGACGTGCCCATTTCCCTGCCTGTGCCAGTAATCTCCCTGAGATGATGGAATTCTGGGTTTCTCCCATGAGAAGGTTAGGCAAACTCTTGGGAAGGTATGCAATATCCAGTGTCTATGTTATTGTGTTCATTCATTCATTTTTTCATTTATTCGACAAATGTTTTCAGAGCAACTAGTTTTTTATCAAGCACCATTTTATTCTTCATTACTATTCCATTCTTGTACTTTTCATGATATATGTAACAGGTGCTCAATAAATGTTTGCTGAAGAAATAAGTACGTAAATAAATAAATGTAGGTCGAGGAGACATGTACAACACAAAGACTGTATATAAACAGACACTTTGGAAAAATAATCTAGGACTTTGGATTTGGTGGCACAATTACATAAAATTATTTGGTTTCATCAAATATCACCACCAAAAACATTATTTAACAGGTAGGTTAATGCATTAATGATACAGACTCATTTTTGCATGCTTCACATTGATGCCATCAGTAGGGATGAAATGCAGTCTTGAGGCAGCTGCCGAAATTCTAACAAAATTGTAGATGTCAGAAAGTGAAATGTCTGATGTCAAACAAAAAAAGGAAGTGTCTGTCAGAGCATTCTGATGAGGGTTGAATGTCTGCTACTGGCAATAATAATTATTTCAGCAGAGTCTCAAAGGTCAGAGTTCCAGGAGGAGAAACGTCACTAGGGAAGTAAAACTTATTTAATGACAAAGAATTAATATTGGCAAGTTATCAGAATGCCAGGGATTTATTACAAGAGAAAGAGCCAAAGATGCAGAGTTATAAAATAAAACCAGTGAAACAGGAAATACAAAGCAGTAGAGCCTTGCTGTGCATAATAACATTTTCTTTTGTAGCTACAGCATAGAGTGACTTCTTAGTTAACTGCTACATTTAAATTTGCATCTCAAATTATGATAGAGAATTCTGCAGCAAAGCAAGAAATTGGAATTAAAAAGTTCAGATAAGTTTAATACTAAAATACCCACATGGTGATAACTGTCAGTGTTACAGATGGAATATGAAAAGCTGATGAATGAATGGAAATAATACAAATTTGGGGTTTTTAGATTGTTTTCAACCTATCTCTTCCCTTTGTGATGAGATTTGAAGCAAGGGTTGTCTATGTTGAAACACCCAAATAAAAACCTTTACAATTTCCATTGCTTTGTCATTGAAAAGTAAAAATTAAAATTTCAAATCTATGTTCATTTTTAACATATTTCTAAAGCAATTGAGATGAATAATTTAGAGCCTGAGTTTTGGAGAGATCTGTGCTTTGAGACCTTGATTCATCCCTTACCAGTAATTTGCTCTTCATGTCTGTAAGACTTAGTTTCCTCATACGTAAAAAGAGATAATTGTAGGTACTCCTACTCAGGTTTGTTGGATGGCTAAATGAGACTGTGCATTTAAGGCACTTATGTCATGCTTTGACACACTGTTATTAGTTATACTGACAAACAGTGGTCATGTTGTAATAATGTTTATGCTAATCATCATTACTGTTAGTCTTTAGGTGAAATTGAATGTAAAAGCTTGGCTCTTATGCTGTCTTGCGCTTTTGAAAGTTGTTTAGTCATCCTTTGCCTAAATTTCTTTACCAGCATAATAATAAATAGGGTTTATATGAAGTTTAAATACTTATTAATAAAAGACAGTAGGCTAATAGGTTATCCATATGGAGAAAATGATACTTGACCTACACAGCAAAGCATATACAGATAGTAACCACTCTGTAAGTATTTGCTACTTTCATGATGAAGAACAATAGCATTTCCTTCCAAACACTTATTCCCTATAACTATCTCTTGATATCCCTTAAAGCCTTTTACTTCTAATCTTCTTCAATCCACCATCCTCTTTTCCTTAGAGAATTACAGTAGCCTTTAACTAGTCTTCCTATATTTATGTTTTAATATGAAATAAAAAATTAAGTTATGAACTGGCACACACACACAGAAAATATGCAAATGTATACCATGCCATATCATCATAAATACAATACTTACACAGCCAACACTCAGTTTAAGAAATCAAGCATTGCCAAAATTCCTTTTTATTATTATTATTATTATTATTATTATTATACTTTAGGTTTTGAGGTACACATGCACAACGTGCAGGTTTGTTGCATATGTATACATGTGCCATGTTGTTGTGCTGCATCCATTAACTCATCATTTACATTAGGTATTCCTCCTAATGCCATCTCTCCCCCCTCTCCCCACCCCATGACAGGCCCCAATAACAGACAAATAGAGACAGCCAAATCATGAGTGAACTCCCATTCACAATTGCTTCAAAGAGAATAAAATACCTAGGAATCCAATTTACAAGGGATGTGAAGGACCTCTTCAAGGAGAACTACAAACCACTGCTCAAGGAAATAAAAGAGGATACAAACAAATGGAAGAACATTCCATGCTCATGGATAGGAAGAATCAATATCATGAAAATGGCCACACTGCCCAAGGTAAATTATAGATTCAATGCCATCCCCATCAAGCTACCAATGACTTTCTTCACAGAATTGGAAAAAACTACTTTAAAATTCATATGGAACCAAAAAAGAGCCTACATTGCCAAGACAATCCTAAGCCAAAAGAACAAAGCTGGAGGCATCACGCTACCTGACTTCAAACTATACTACAAGGCTACAGTAACCAAAACAGCATAGTACTGGTACCAAAACAGAGATATAGACCAATGGAACAGAACAGAGTCCTCAGAAATAATACCATACATCTACAATTATCTGATCTTTGACAAACTTGACAAAAACAAGAAATGGGGAAAGGATTCCCTATTTAATAAATGGTACTGGGAAAACTGAAAAAGCTAAAACTGCATCCCTTCTTTACACCTTATACAAAAATTAATTCAAGATGGATTAAAGACTTAAATATTAGATCTAAAACCATAAAAACCCTAGAAGAAAACCTAGGCAATATCATTCAGAACATAGGCATGGGCAAGGACTTCATGACTAAAACACCAAAAGCAATGACAACAAAAGCCAAAATAGACAATGGGATCTAACTAAACTAAAGAGGTTCTGCACAGCAAAAGAAACTACCATCAGAGTGAACAGTCAACCTACAGAATGGGAGAAAATTTTTGCAATCTACTCATCTGACAAAGGGCTAATATCCAGAATCTACAAAGAACTTACACAAATTTACAAGAAAAAAATCAAACAACCCCATCAAAAAGTGGGCAAAGCATTGCCAACATTTCATAGCTACATCCTCCTAAGCCTCTCCCCAATCACAGCTCCTTGATATCCTGCTAACCATCATTACTTTACTGACATGTAATGTAATCAACCTCTTGCTTTGTTTCATTATTTTAGCACATGTGTGTATATCCTTTAAGACCATAGGTTAGTTCTTCATCTTTGAACTCTATATTAAATACATTATTCAATAGGAATTATTTCATGTTTGGATTTTTTTCTCAACATTATGTTTGTGAAATCCATCTATATTGTCATGTAAGGCATAGTTTATTCACTTTAGTTACTGTCTAAAACTCAATTTTATGAACATACCACAGTGTACTTATCCGTTAAATTTTTGATGAACATTTGGATTAGTTCTAGTTTAGGGCTACTATAAAAGATGCTAAAATAATGTTTGAACTTATCCTTTGGAGCCCACATGCTAAGTAACTTTTTTTTTTTTGGTAATATACATTGATAAGGAGTTGCAGGTTATACATAATATGGAATGTACTAGATAATACCAAACTCTTTACAAAATATTTGTACTAATTTATAGTTCCCTCAGTAATATATGAGAATTTCCATTCTATTTAAATCGTTTTCAATACCTGGTGTTATAAGACTTTCAAAAAATTAGCTATCCTCATGGATATAAACTGGTATTTTGTTATGATTTTAATTTGCATTTTCTTTATGACTAATATGATTGAGGGGATTTATGTATTTGGAACACTTTGAAAATGCTTTTTTGATAAAAGCCTGTTTAAGGAAATTGACCATGATTCTACTAAATTTTCTTGCTTTTTATTAGTGCTTAGTAGGTTTGAGCATCACACAAAGTTACAAGGCTTTGGATGCTTAAAGTGTTGCAAATACTTCTCTGTAGTTTGAGTTTTTACTGTCTTAATGGTGACTTTTGCTGATGAACATACTTATATGTAAACTAAATTAATTTATCAACCTTTTTCTTTATGATTAATGCTTTCTGTTTCCTAACAGAAAAATTTCCCTACCCTAACTTCATTATAATGTCTCTATTATAATTTCTTTACAGTTTTGTCTTTGACTTTAGTTCTATAATCTACTTAGAATTGTGTTTGTAAATGGTGTATGGTTGTACTTCATTATTTTCCATAGCACCATTTATTGAAAAGGCCATATTATCCCTATTGTTTTGCACTGCAAATTTCATAAGTTTATTATATATGAAATTTCCTTATGCAGTTGGTTATTTTGGAGGATTTTCTATTCTGTGCCATTTGCTTATTTATCTAGCCTTACACTAATATCATGATTTTATAAACTGTAACTTTATAGTAAATCTTAATATTTGGTAAAGCAAATAATCCCAATATGATCAACTTCTTTACAAATGTCTTAGCTATTATGGATGTTTTGAAGTTCCATATATATGAGTTTACTGTGCGCTATGAGAATTACTATAAACTTGGTGGCTTAAAGCGATACCCACATATATTTTCTTATAGCTCTGGAGCCAGAAGTCCAAAATCATTCGTGTTGAGCCAAAATCTACCTTTCTGAAGGCTCATATTTCCTCCAGAGGCTCTAGGAAAGAAACAGTTACTTGCTTTTTCCAACATCTGAAGTTGCATTTCCTGCATTCAAACAGAGCGGCAACATCATTTCAGTCTACCTCTAAGATCACATTGTCTTCTTGTCTTCACTGTAAAATCTCCCCCAACTCCCATTTGTAAGGATAATTGTGATTAGATTTAGACTCAGCTAAATAATCCAAGCTATTTTCCCCACTTCAAAATCCTTAATTTGGCCGGGCGCTGTGGCTCACGCCTGTAATCCCAGCACTTTGGGAGGCCGAGGCGGGCGGATCACGAGGTCAGGAGATCGAGACCATACTGGCTAACAGTGAAACCCCGTCTCTACTAAAAATACAAAAAATTAGCCGGGCATGGTGGCGGGCACCTGTAGTCCCAGCTACTCGGGAGGCTGAGGCAAGAGAATGGCGTGAACCCCGGGAGGCGGAGCCTGCAGTGAGCCGAGATTGCACCACTGCACTCCAGACTGGGCGACAGCGAGACTCCATCTCAAAAAAAAAAAAATGCTTAATTGGATTGTTTCTGCAGAAAATGTTTTTCCATATAAGGTAACATTTACAGGTTCCAGGGGATTAGGACCACGATATCTTTGGGCACCGTTATTCAGCCTATTATACCACATATCAGATCATAATCATTCTCCTTTCTTTCTTTTTCATTGACATACTATTTTTTTGTTTTACGTTTCAATTATAGATATGTGTATATATATAACAAAGAATGTATATATAGGTATATACATAGTTTTTTCAATGTATATATACATATATAAACATATATATATACATGTATGTGTACATATTACATTTCATAATTTAATTTTTTGGTGTGTGTGTATATATATTATATATAATATATGTATATATAATATATATTATATATCATATATGTATATATAATATATATTATATATATATAACAAAGAATTGTAACCAGAACGTATTAAAAGTTACTACAGCACAACAATAAGACAAACACATCAATATAAATTTTTGTATGGATTCTTTTTTTTGTATAGTATCATACTTCTTCTACCTGAAAAAGTTTTTGAACATTTTTGTTGTTCAAATCTACTGAAAATAAATTGGTTTATATTGGTCAAAACACACTTTCTATATTTTGAAAGATGTTTTACTGAGTACATAATTCTGGATTGATGGTTTTATTTTTCTCGAACTTTTAAGATGATACTACATTATGTTTTAATTTATGTATCTTCTGAGGAAAAGTTTTTTTGTAATACTTATCTTTATTCCTCAGTATGTAATGTGACTTTTTTCTTTGGATTTTTTTTCCTCAAGATTATCTTACTTATCTTGATTTCCAGTATTTTAAATGTAATGTGTTTAGATGTATTTACTTTTAGTTCTTGCTATTTTTCTCTGCTTCTGTTTTTCTGAGCTTTTTGGATGATGGTATAATGTCTTTTACAATTTTTGGAAATGTATCTGTTATTATCTCTTTAATTCTTTTTTCTTCCATATACCCTCTCTTCTTCTGAAATTCTAATGACAAATGTTATATTATTTGCTATTGTCTCACAATTTTGAATGAACTCTCCTTTTCTTCTCTACCCTTTTCTCTTTGTGTTTCAATTTTGGTAAGTGCTATTGACATTTCAAGTTAACCAGTTATTTTCTCACCCTCATCAAGTTTACTAATTCGCTCACTATAGTTATCAAGCACTATTTATATTGAGAATTCAAGGTTGGCTCAGCATTTGGAACTGAATTAGTATGGTTTGTCATACCAATGGACTAAGGAGTAAATAAAACACCATGTTCTTAATAGATTCAAAAACTCCTTTTGCAAGAGAAAATATCAATCCATATTAGCACCCTAAGAATAAAAGAGAACTCCTTAACCTGAAGTGAGCATCTTCTTAAGAAACTTCAGTTAACTTCATACCTATTGGTGAAAGCTGAATGTTTTCCCCTTATTATTGGGAACAAAACAAGATGTTTGTTCTCACCACCTTTATTCAATATTATGCAGGAGGTCCCAGCTAGTCAAAGAGGAAAGAAAAAATATAAAGCCTATAGATTGAAAAGAGGAAAATAAAATAGTCTGTATTTGCAGATCACAAAATTATCTACATAGTAAATCCCAAGGACTTTACAAAAAAAGTTACTTGTCTAACAAAGTTGCAAGAGTACAAGGCTAATAAACACCTACAATTGTATTCTTATAGAGTAAACTGAATTAAAAATACCAATTAAAATAACAGTAAAGAAAACCTAAAAATATTAGGGAAAAATGTACAAAATCTGTGCAAAATTTTATTACTGAAAACTGCAAAACACCAATGAAATAAATAAAAATTAATCAATGGAAAGCTGTACTGACTTGAACGATTCAATCTAGTTTAGATGTTAGCACTTTCTGAACTGATCTGCATATTAATTACACTCCAAATAAAATATTACAACAGAATTTGTTTGTAGAAACTGACAATGTTATTCTAACTTTCATAGGAGAAGACATAGAATCAAGAATTGCCTAAATAATTTTTAAAAAGAACAAAGTTGGAGGACTACCTGATTTAAGACTTACCACAAAAAGAAAACCCAATAGTAGTCAAGATAATGTGTCATTGGTGAAAGTTTAGACTCATTGACCAATAAAACCGAATAAATAACCCAGAAAATACATGTATATACATCCATACATGTATTCATTACTAAATGGCTGGATATTCATTTGATTTTGATAAAGGCACAGAGGCCATTTAATGAAAGAAAGGTAACCTTTCCAACTGGTGGTGGTGTAACAATGAGCTCCAAATATGTATATCCTATCTCATACCATTTAAAAAAGAACTCAAAATGGGTCATAGAAGCAAATACAAAAGTTAAAACTGTAAAATTTCTGGAACAATGCATAACAAAGTTTGTACAATTGAATTGGGAAACTATCAGATAGGACATCAAAAGCATGATTAATGAAAAAAAACTAAAGTGAACTTTATTGAAATTGAAATCTGCTGGGAAAATACTTTAGCAAATGAAAAGGAATGCCACAGACTAGGAGGAAATATTTGCAAAGCACATATATGATAAAAACCTTATATCCTGGAAATATAAAAAAACTCTTTATGTAAACCCAAATATAACCTTAAAACTCAGCAAAAAGCAAATGACCTATTATAAAATGTGAAAAAATGTGAATACTTTATCAAAACAAGATGTTTAGAAGGCAAATATGAACATTGAAAAGATGCTTAACATCACTAGTCATTAGAAAAATGCAAATTAAAAACCACATCAGATACAAATACACATATACTATAATTGATGAATACTTGCAAAATGACATACCAGAAGGAGCAACTGTGACTCTTACACACTGCGATGAACATGTTAACTGGTATAGCTACTTTGAAAAATAATTTTGGAGTGTTTAATAAAGTTGAACATACCCAACAACAACAGAAATCTCACTTCTAAATATTTACCCCAAGACAAGTCAAAATGTATATTCACAGAATCACCTGTATATGAATGTTATAATGACATTATATATGATTTTTAAAATGAACTATCTCAAATATTCTTCTACGGGTAAGTGGATAAACGTGGTTTGTTGTAACAGCAAAGGTTGCAGTCTAGGCATTTGAAGTAGAACATCACACCCAGATGGTACAAGCCTGTGGCCAGAAAAGAACTTAGAGGCAACTCTTCTGTCTAGCAGATGTGGCTGCCCACTTTTCCACTACTTCCTTTAAATGGACAATTCAGACATTACCCACAAACTTATTCCCCAAAAAATACACACAGTGAGTTTCCTCTCTCTCTTCCTCTCTCTACTTGACTATTCATTCCTGTTTTTGTGACCTGAAGACAGAAGATTGTTCTCACAAATTAGCCTTATTTTCTATTGTGACGATGTATTGATGTGATCTTTCCATCTGAAGAACCAAAGGATGGCTGAGGCTGGATTTTCTCCACGACGCCTGGAGGACACAAGTGCAGGCTCTCAGCACCAGAGCGGTGGCCAGACAGTCATGAATTGGACAGACAAAAAAAGGATGCCATGAAGAGCACACTTAAACACTCATGCCCAGCTGCCCTTCATTTCATGTTAGGGCAGGGTTTCTAGCTGCTCTGGGACTGGGTTCCCAATTTAGCTGGGGGATCTTGAGGCTTATTATACATACAATGGAATATTACGCAATAATAAAAAGGAATGAATTACCGATACATACTCAACACCATGGGTGGATCTAAAGTGTATTATGCCAAATGAAAGAAGCCAGAATCAAAAGGTTTCATATCATACCATTTCATTCATATGACATTCTGAAAAGGCAAATTATAGGTTCAGAAAACAGATGACTTGCTTCTAGGTTCTGTGCGTAGAAAAAGCACTTGATATAAAAGTCATGAAGGAATTATTTGGGGAGAGGAAACTGTTACATATTTTCATATAGTGATGGTTATTTCATGAATATATTGTTTTTCAAAACTTATAGAATTATATATTTTAATAATAAATTATTTCTTATTAAAACATACATAATTTATAACAACATCTAAATACATGGAATTCTGATAAGTTTAAAATAAAACGTAAAAACATACAGACTTAAAGTTAGAACATATTGCTGAGAGGAATTAAAGATGACCTATAGTAAAAAGAGACATGCATTCATATTCATGGATTTTAAGATTCAATATTATTAAAATATTGATGCTTCTCAAATTGCTCTGTATATTTAATTCAATAACGATCAATACTATTGTAATTAAAAAAACAAGTATATTCTAAGTTCATTCAAAAGTTTATATAGAAATGCAAAAGGACCTGGAATAGATGAAAATTTCAAAATTGGCTAACTTATACTACTTGAATTTATAATAGTTACAATAGTACAGTTTAGCATAAAGGTAGCTGTAAAGATAAATGATGTTAAATAGAGTTCCAAAATATACATTCATTTGGTCAAATTTTTGACAAATATGCCCATGTAAACTCAATGGTAAAGTATTGTCTTGTTAACAAATGGTGTTTAAAACAATATTTATCTAGAAAAAAGTATTCACAACCTTTGCTTCATAATATTAACAAAAATTAAGCCAAGATGGAAACAAATCTTAGTGTAAATTAGATAACTACAAAATTGCTTAAAGAAAATGTAGGAAAAAAGTGTGAGTGTCCTTGAGGTAAGCAACAATGTCTTAGATAAGGTAAAAGTAGTACAGCTAATGAGAAAATATTGGTAAATTGGGCTTTATGAAAATCTGTTGTTCTTCAAAATACAACTTTATGAAACTAAAAGGCATTTTATAGACTGGAGAGAAAATATTTTTAATCCATTTATCTAACAGTGAGTTTTATTCAAAATATTTAAAGAACTCCTACCACTATAGTAAGATGACAAAACTGAATTAAAATGAAAAAAAGCACAAAATAAGAAATACAGAAGACCAGTTAACACATGTAAAAATGCTAACCCTCATTAGTCATTAGATAAATCCGTGTTAAACTCACAATTAGAAACAGCATATACTTCCACTGAAATGGCTAAAATTGAAAAAGAAGGACAATACCAATTGTTGGGAAGGATGTTGAACAACTGGAGGAATTATCAGTAGTAGCTAGTAGGAAAGAAAATAATTCATATACTAACCCACAATCCAGTAATTCCACTCTCAGATATATGAGAAATAAAAACATATGCTCACAAAACAAATTGTATCCAAATTCTTATAGAATTTTTATCCATAATAGATCTAAACTAGAAAGAAAGCCTAATGTCTACCAAGAGATGAATAAATACATTATAATATACCATGTAATAATATTTATAAATTTTTTAAAAAACGGATACATGTGGCAACATGAGTGCTACTCAAAAAATTTATTCTGAGAAGGACAATACAAAAGATTACATACAGCATAATTCCACACATGAAATTCTAGAACAGTCAAAACTAGTCTATAGTGGTGGAAAGAAGACAATTGGTCATCTTAGGCCAGGATGTAGCGGATAGACTACAAAGATTATAAGAAAAGTGTGGGAGGGTGATAGAAATATTCTGTATATTGTTTTTGGTGGTGGCTACAGTGTCTCAGCACTTGAGCTTCACATTGGCATCTCTTTGTCTTAGTCATTTGGTACTTCCCATTGTTTAGATATGCTTTACTTACTCTCCTCAGGAGGGCCTTCTGTTTGTCTGCCTGGAATTCTCTTGATCACCTCCCTCACCCTGCCTTTGGTTGGTTACCTCTTACTCTTCAATTTACTATTTCAGATCAAGTACACTTCTAGAAAGTCTTTCATGTCCCCTTGGATTGGGTCGACTACCTGTATTTTACACTTTTTTTTTTTATTTTACAACCAACAATATTTAATATTTCCACATTGAAGAATAGATGTGATAATTAAATCTTTTATAAGGCTTTAAAAAGACATGAAACATAAACCTAATTATACATAAAAGAAAATAATTTTAAACAAGAGCTTATTGTGATGACATTACTCATAACTTTTACCTTTAAAACCTTTTCTTGGGTAGCTATTCAAAAGTAAAGACCGCAAATTTTGTTGCTCAGATTTCTTATGTTTTGTTTATTTAAGCTCTTTAGTTATTGACCAGATGTGTCATTAATTCATTTGGAGCATTACTATTATCAGTAAAATTTGATTTTTTTTTCCCTCAGTCATAGGTAAATCAGCTCCGCCTGGAATTTCTTTTTTTTTTAATTTATTATTATTTTACTTTAAGTTTTAGGGTACATGTGCACAATGTACAGGTTAGTTACATATGTATACATGTGCCATGCTGGTGCGCTGCACCCACTAACTCTTCATCTAGCATTAGGTATATCTCCCAATGCTATCCCTCTCCCCTCCCCCCACCCCACAACAGTCCCCAGAGTGTGATGTTCCCCTTCCTGTGTCCATGTGTTCTCATTGTTCAATTCCCACCTATGAGTGAGAATATGCGGTATTTGGTTTTTTGTTCTTGCGATAGTTTACTGAGAATGATGATTTCCAATTTCATCCATGTCCCCACAAAGGACGTGAACTCAATCATTTTTTATGGCTGCATAGTATTCCATGGTGTATATGTGCCACATTTTAGAAAGTCTTTCATGTCCCCTTGGATTGGGTCGACTACCTGTATTTTACACTTTCATAGGACCATACAATAAAAGTGCGAATCCTACGAAGTCAGTGGGTTGACATTAAAAAAGAAACATCACACTCTACTAGGCTTTGAATCACTGAACTGGACGGTGTCCCCAAAGTCCTTTTAGTTCTAAAATGCTACGACTGCATGCGTACATTGAATTACTCATACTTGATTTTGGTGAGAGATCTACAAGGCAAGAAACCAAATTTCAAAAGAATTACTACAACTCCTTAATATATCTACACTAATGCAAGTATCATATGCAATATTTATTTGTTTCTTCTTGTCATCATTCTTATGTTTCAGAGCAATAATGTCATCTGGAACCTGTGAAGTGTTTGTGCTAGTGATTTTGTATCAAAGGGAACCAACACAATTGAATTAAGGTTAAAAATTCCTTTTTCCTCAGGTTATTTTCTTAAAGTAATAAAATAGTCTTGGTTTGGAGCTTGCTATTATATGTACCCAACAAATATTTGCTGTCCCGAAATATTGAAGATGTTAATACACTAATTATATCTTTCATTTTCCCTATTTATAAAATAGGAAAATATTACCTATACTATTAGCAGTATATTACCTATATTGTTACTTATGTTACTAAAATATTGTCTACTATTATTAGAAAAATGTTAATTACCTGACACAAAAGCATTCAATAAACTGTGATTATGAAAGAATCCAGCAGTAGAGAAAAAAGGTATATATATATATTTTTTGTTTATGGAAGCCTGTTCCCATCTGCTATCCAATCATTAGGTGCCAGGCACTTTAATCAGTGTGCTTCAGGCTGCCCTGCCTGACCAGGTGCCTGATTATTTAAAATGGAGACACCTGCCGGGTACAGTGGCTCACGCCTCTAATCCCAGCACTTTGGGAGGCCAAGGCGGTTGGATCACCTTAGGTCAGGAGTTCAAGACCAGCCTGACTAACGTGGTGAAACCCCATCTCTACTAATAATACAAAAATTCGTCAGGCATGGTGGCATGGGCCTGTAATGTCAGCTACTCGGGAGGCTGAGGCAGGAGAATTGCTTGAACCCAGAAGGCAGAGGTTGCGGTGAGCCAAGATTGTGCCATTGCACTCCAGCCTGGTCAACAAGAGCAAAAAACTCCATCTCAAAATATATGTATATAATATTATATATATATACATTTATATATATAAATATATACATTTATATATAAATATATACATTTATATATACATATATACATATATATAAATATATATATTTATACATAAATATATATATGTATATATAATGGAGACACCTACCTTTGTAGGAGTCAGAGGTTGTCACAGCTGGGGGACTGCAGAATAGGCCTAGGCAAAACTAAATAGTTACTACGTTGGGGCTAGAACTCAGCCAGGTTAATACTGTATTAATTATGGTTTTTTAAATGATTAAAAGAATTTTGTTTGTGTTTCTGTTTCTCATTTCACAAATAGACTTACAACCATTGTACATTTATGATCTAACCATATCTCAAGTCATTTTCATTTTAGGATGAAAAGTCCAGAATTATTTACATTTCCTCCTGGGTCAGTGAAATTTTGAAAGTCCATTACAAAATGTCAAACTTTGGAATGATTATTTCATTTAAAAATGATTTTTATTTATTACCATTAACAAATGTTCTTTTCGTTACACAACTTATACTGGTTCAGTTTTGAGTGATGCCTTTTTTACAATCAGCTCTCAATCTATAAACTATAAATAATAAATGGAGAAGATCAGGTTTTCTTCTCCAAACAAAAGAGAACAAAATTATGCATTCATTCTACTTTAACCTGAAAAAGAAATTAAGGTAAGGATTGAAGTAAAAATGCTAACTTGAGACTGATTTATTCAGGGGAAGATTGGAGGATTTTAGAGTGGAGGGAGGGAGAAAGAGACAGAGAAAAACAAAGAGGCAGAAACAGAGAAGGTACTTTTATTTCATGAGTGGGAATGATAAACTCCATCTTTTAGTGGCATTCTATCTATTAAATTTTTTACAGTGCATGCACCCTGTATTGATTAGTGAATCATCAGCCCCTACTTTTAGATCCACCTGAAATTCTTGCATTTTATTAATATATTATAGTCATTTGTCATCTGTGAATTCTTGTAAACCCATTCCTCAGGAGAAATTGGCAAGTAACCTCTATAGGTATATTATAAGATCATCCTACCCAGGCAGAACAAATACCCTAACAGGTGGTTTTAGCTTCCCTACTAACTTTGTTTTTTTGTATACTGATGCCTAATGTAAAATAACAATGTTAGATTTGGCTGCAATTTTGGAACTTTAAAAGCAAACCTAAGCATTTCACTTTTCCAGATAAGATGGACAGTGATAATTACTATAATCAATACATCAAAATGATTGCTAAGCATTAAAAAAAGTCACTGATCTGGAAGTGTTAGAGAAAATAACTTTCTAAAGTGTGTGAACTGATCCAAAAGAATAAACTACTTACAAGCAGAAATAATTCAAACCTTCATCATTCTTAGCTAACCAAACTGAACTTCTGATAGCAGGCTTAAACATCAACAATTCATGTATTTTCCCCCAAACCACTTTGTTTTATACATTTCTAACACAGAAATAAATTGAAAGTGTAGCAAACTACATACTCACACTCTCTATTTAACAATTGCTAAGATCTTCTCTCTGTCTCTCTGTGTATGTATGTCTTTCTCTTTTTCTCTCTTTTTATACACACATATTTTTGAAAACATATAATTATCATGACACTTCATGCTTAATAACTTCTAATTCCTAACAGTAAGGAAATTTTATTACATAATCACAAAAATGGTACCATCATTAAGAAGGCGCCCAAGCACTTGTTGATCTCTAGTTGATATCATCAAATCTCTAGTTGATACCTAGATTTTTGCCAATTGTCCAGCAAGTGTTTTCCATGGTCTACTTTCTTATTTTCATTGTTTTAACCCAGGAAAATAACAAAAAAGTTCACACTTTATGTTTTGACCATTTTGTCCCTTTCATTTCCTTAGACTAGCTTTCCATCACCCCTTCCTTTTTCAAGAGTCCACGCCAGCTGAAATAAAGAATGTCTAACATTCAGGGCTGCTCTGACTCTTTTCTTAGGATTGCATGTATTTTGCCTTTCTCTCTCTCTCTCTCTCTCTGTATATATATATTTAGGTCTAAGGACTAGACGAGTTTTGAGATAAATATGTTTGGGGAGAGTACTTGCCTCACAAGTGATATTAGAAAACTTACATGAAAGTACAACAGGAGACAAATATTGTTACAAGATGTTGATTTTTAATCCCAAGCTGTTAATATTTATCAGTTGGTCCAGGGGTACATTGATTAGTATTGTATTGTTGCTTAACAATATTGCCACAAATTTAGTAGATTTAAACAGCACTCACTTATTATCTTCCATTTCCTCTGGATCAAGAGTCCAAGCATGGTTAGCTTGGTCCTCATCTTCAGAATTTCACATGGAGAAATCAAGACAGGCTATGGTCTCATCTGAAAGTCAGTTGGGAAAGGAGCCACTTTCAAGCCCATGTGGTTATTTGCAGCATTGAGCTTCTTTTGGGCTTCCAGATTTACGGCCTCAGTGCCTTGGCCTAGTTACTGGACACAGCTCTCAATTACTTACCAAGCCACATGGCCTTTAATAGGTCTGTTCAAACCACGGCAACTGTGGCCTCAAAGCCAGCAAGGGAAAGAGTTGCTCGTACAACAGATATTACAATGTCATATAACCTAGTAAAATACAGGTAATAGTGTACATCCTGTTACTTTTGCCACATTCTGCTTGTTAAGAAGCAAGCTAATAGTTCTGTCCACACTCAAGGGGAGATTGTGCAAGGACATGAGCACCAAGAAGCAAGGATCATGGGAGTCACCTTAGAATCTGCCCACCACAAGGTAACACTAATCCTTCTCCTATGTAAAGATAAATTTCCATGGTGCTTTGACACCATGTGAATAATTTAATAATTTAAAAAATCATTAATATTGAATTAAGGCTAAATTTGAATTGGAAATGTTTGTGAGTCCAGATTTTTGTAGATATATTATGTAAAGTAGAATTTCGTAGAAATATTATCTATATAGATGCTCCTCAACTTACAATGGGGTTATGGCCTCATAAACATGCATTTAATACCCTTGTTAGATATGAGTGCTAAATTTCTCTTCAAAGAATCAATATGTCAGTATGTTAAATTCTTTGCCTTCTAGTTTTAAACTTCCTTGTAAATCAACCTTTTTCGATTACCTGCTCCACCCTAACTCATTCCAATCACCTGCTCCACCCTGACTCATTCTCCATCCTGACTCATTCTCCACCCTGACTCATTCCAATTACCTGCTCATTCTGCACCCTGACTCATTCCAATTTCCTGCTCTGCCATAACCATTTTTCCCACCAAATCACTCACCCTGTCACTCTCTTTAAATTAGACAATTGGAATTAGTTTAGCCTATGCTGGCTAACCCTAGACGATAGGGGAATGGCACAGCAGCAGGGGCCACATGTGTCAGGGATAAGAACCCGTTCCCCTCCCTTGTCCAAGTGTGCACTCACCATTGCTCCATCTGTAAGGGTGCACCCTTCTATAGAAGTACATTGCCTTGCTGAGAATTAAAAAGAAAATTTTATATTTGAGTGCTATTTCTTTTGCAGCACTGAAACTTTATTTATAACACACTTAACCTACTGAATATCATAATTTAGCCTAGCCTACCTTAAATGTGCCCAGAACACTTACATGAGTGCATAATTAGGCAACATCATCTAACACAAAGCCTATTTTATGATAAAGTGTTGACTGTCTTATGTAATTTATTAAATACTGTAGTGAAAGTTAAAAACAGAATGGTTGTATAGGTACTCAAAATACAGTTTCTACTGAATATGTATTGCTTTAGCACCACCACAAATTCAGTGATCATTGGTTTGTGGTGTGTGTATCTGTGTATTTGCAATCTGATCTACCAGATATTCCCTATTCAAACTTTAAAGAGCTTTTTAAAATATCTTTTGGGCCAAGCATGATGGCTCACACCTATAATCCCAGCACACTGGGAGGCCTAGGCGGGTGGATCACGGGTTCATCAGGAGTTCGAGACCAGCCTGGCCAACATGGTGAAACCCTGTCTCTACTAAAAATACAAAAAGTAGCCGGGCATAGTGGTGTGTGTGCCTGTAGTCCCAGCTATTTGGGAGGCTGAGGCAGGAGAATCACTTGAACCCAGGATGCAGAGGTTGCAGTGAGCCAAGATTGTGCCACTGCACTCTAGCCTGGAAACAGAACAAGACTCCATCTCAAAAAAAAAAAAAAAAAAAAAAAAACTTTTGTTATTTTATGTTTTGTATTCTTTCCACTGTTCTTAATGGTATAAAAATATTAAATTATTTTCTCAATTTTACGACATACATAAAAAACTCAAATTACAAAATAAAAGTTGCAACTGGCAATAATCCTAGTAAGTAAAATCTAAATTCTTTTCAGACTCTTTTTTTTTTTGCCCTTACGAAATATCTTATTAAGGATATATAGTCAGAGTCGTGTTTCACAGGTTCTGAAATGATTGCTGCCCTTATGTATTTATGTTGTCATTGTATGTTTATATGTTGCTATTTGGATTCAATATTAAGGCTTACTATATTTTCTTTAAAATTTTATTTTTATGTTTTGATTATGTGAAATATTTACTTGTTTCAAAGGTCAACAGTACTTTAAATTCCAAATAATTCTAGTCTCAGCTCCTTCCTATCCATTTTACTCACACCCATCCCTATATAAGCTGTTTTCATTTATTACTTTATTGTTTATTAGGCCAAAATAGATATATGCATATATTTTCTATTTTTATTTTCTGTCTTTTCATACATAAAAGTCACATATTATTATATTGCTCTGAAGCTTTTTTATTTCTTTTTTTACTTTATAATATATCATGAGATTATCTCCATATACTTCATAGAGATTTTCCTTAGTGTTTGAAAGTTGTGCAGTATTGCATTGTGAGGATACCATAGTTTATTTAAAGGACAGTTTAGTCTTGCTCATGAAACCTTGTCCTTTGGAGTGGTGCTGAACTAGATAACTTCTGTGTATGTCATTTCCTACTTGGGTAGGTGTATATTCAGGTGACAACATAGGTTGAAGTCCTCAGGAAATACGAGATAAAGCTTCACGTGCAAAAAGTTTACTAATGATTGTTCTCATTAGTAAACTTTAGTAAATATTAGTAAGTAAAAATTAGTAAAATTTAGTAAAATTAGTAAATGATTTCCTCATTCATGAGGAAAAAGAAAGAAAGCAGGATTGAACAAAGGGACATGTCAGGTTCTGATGCAGTATTACAGGAAGGCTGTAACCAATGCTCTGGAGCTAGGATGGCCCTTCAGAGTTGTCACAAGTTAAGGTGAGGACTCCAGGCCTTCACACCACTGTAGCAATCAGTAATTACATACAAGATGTACTGCAAAGGAGGACTTTGGGGCTAGTCAACCTTCTTCATCTGAAAACCACAAGTTTTTAGCGGCAATCTAATCAGCAGTTGGGTGACTATATCAATCCTAAAAGAGAGATTGATATAGCACAGTACAGAATATATGATAGTTTACCCTTTATGTCAGTTTAATATATTTGCATCATATCAAAAGTTCTGGTGGGCTTCTTTTGCTAGAAAAAATGCAAGATAGTGGTAGATTCGTAGGATGAACTGCAGTCCCACTGCTGTAACTGGTGTTGCAGCCACAGCTAATTATGACCTTCGTCTATTACTATCCACTCTAAAAACCCCTTCCCTTTACTTAGCCCCTCTACTGATCCTGGTGGCTCACCTTGTGGTGTGGACAAGATCCTCATTCCTGAGTAGTCTGTACCCCTGGTTCCCATGTTATTTTGCAGCATCAGCCATTAAACTTATCCTTGTATCATCAACATTAGGCAAGGGAGAACTAAGACATATCCAAGTTGATAACTTGAATTTCAAACATATTGGTCCCTCTCTCCATAACGGGACAACAGCTCTTCCCCCTTGTAAAGATCTGGGTGAATTACACCTACCAGGATTGTGAATTGTATTCCACCCAGGTGATCCCTTGGCAGAAGAAGCCCATGGCACTTGAGTAAGTCTTAGACTAAAGTTCAGTGGATATCTTGATGGACACATTTCCCTTTTGAAAATCATATCTTCTAACCACAAAGAACACAAAGTTGAGGGGTGTGGACCGCACATTTATCAAGTAGATCACTGAAAATAATGGAAAGCACAGACCTTCTTGGCTCTACCTACTGCTTTCCAGACCTATATATTTTACCCATTGGAGACACAATGTCATCTAGTGGATGTTCATATAAGGTGTGTGTGGTGTCCTAGAAGATGATGCCCCATCTTCACAGGGTATTGTCTGCAAGTTGGTGCCTCAGCTGTGTCTTCAACAGCTTGGTTCTATTGCTCTATTAGGCCAGCAGTTTCTGGGTGGTGTGATATATATATATAAAAGAACAAGTGGATTCCATAAGCATATCTATAATTTAACGCTGCCCTTGCTATAAAGTGGGTCCCTTGGTTCTATGTGACATTACACTGGAGCTTGTGTTGATACATAAAACATTCCATATGCCTTAGATAGTGGCTCTGGCTGAGATTTTGAAGGCAGGAAAGGAAAACATGTGGGCTGATTCCAGTCTTGCCAAAATGTGGTATGACTGACTCCCAAACCCGTGTTCTTAGCCTCTATACCATTCTGTCTTTATTTTTTCACAGTTCAAATATAAGCAGAAGATCTAAGAATATACTGAAACAAATGAGATAGAGTTGAGACCGTGAGTAATATACAGCAAAATAAGGATCTCACTCCAATTCTAAATAAAAAGGGGGAAGTAGGAAGACATCAGCGCTCAAGTCATTCCTACACACTCCTATGACTAAGCACACGTAAGGTTGCTTGAGTGCTCAGCATGTGCCAGTCACTATTCCAGGTACTGGACTTTGGTTAACTCTTTTAACTTGCTCATATCATGGGAGGTATCATGGCTATCCAACTTTGTTACTGAAGACACTGAAGCACAGAGAAATTAAGTCACTTAACCAATTCATTTATTTATTGTAGCTACTTAGAGGTAAATTTTGAGTCCTAACCAGTGTGGCTTGGCTTAAGGGCGTCTACACTTAAACGATATGCTACATTGATTTTGGAAATAGGAGAAGAGGAAAATGAAGATCCAGCATGGCTTTTATAAGAGCTGCCATAACCATTCAACACAACACCCTGACTGTCCACCAATCAATAATACACACCTCTAGTGCCAGCCTATAGCAGAGAAGAAAAAGGGAGGATGCATTTCTAGCCATGTGGCATGGTCGTCAGACTTGCATTTGAGTCTTGTTTCAGTCAGTTTCTGACTGGGAAACCACAGGCACTCAGAAATTTTGGCTTCAGTTTCCAATAAAGTAAGACTAAGTGGTTTCTCAGGCTGCTTGGCCATTTTCACAGTCAAGAAATAACTATCATTTTGAATTCTGTTGGACTACGTGGAATTTGGGAGAGGGGGCTCATATTTCCCCACATAAATGGAACCTCAGCTTTCCACCTGAGAATGTCTTTAGCATCACAATTTATCTGGAAAAAACATTGAGGTGAATCTTTTCACCTTAAGCTCTAGTGGCATTTATTTGAGTGAAAGGTACAAACTTACTCTAGAAGCTAGTATCTAGTGACAGAGGGGCAGACAGCTTGGGTCACAAGAAGGGACATTCCTCACTTCAAAGTAGCAAACCAAGTGCTATGCTGTGTGACAGGAAGGTGAATTCTAAAAGAGGCCCTGAAAAATTGGCAAATCTATTAGCATAGAGTTGGCTATTCTGACTACAAATCAATGACTCATTTTGCCACTGCCCTGACAGTTGCTGAGTTGTTTCCTTAAGACAACTCTTTAATGAGAAAAAGATACTGCAGATATCTGCATCATTTCACATAAAGACAACAAACACAGTATAACCTAGGTTACCTCTCTCCATCAATACATTGAAGCAAACAAGCCATCCTTGCACAAATAGCCACCTCTCTTTTCTTCCAGAACACAGATAATTTCTTATTGCTTAAGATTACCCAAAGTTAGTTATTATGCTTCCAGCATTCTGAACCTCAAAGCTGACACAGCACATATGTCAATTAAATTCACAGACACATACATCAGCCAAAAAAGGGAAAAAAATAAAGCAATGCATATATTAATACATTTAATCATTCTATCACAAAAAGAAGGGATGATACTTCTCTAGACACCATATTATGCACTGGAAGCACAAAAGTGAATGAAAAATTTCCTTCCCCTGAGGATGCTCACAATCTCACAGGAAACAGAAAGACACATCTGCAAACACAGTAGCATGTGGAAAGTATCCTGATAAATGCGAACACAGTGTGCTCTCAGAGCACAGGAAGGACATCCTAATCCTTCAGAGCAAACAGAGAAAGGTCCTTGAATACAGGGCCACAAGCGGAACTTTGGAAGGTAAAGAGGTTTAAGTGAAGGGGCTGAAGGTCATCTCAGGAAGAGAAAGAAGCTTATGGGAAGGCCTGAAGGTCTACAGAGAAGGGTTCTGTGTGAAGTAGGAGGTCAGGCTGTATAACAATTCAGAGCTCTCAACTTTTAAGATTTCATTATCCAGTGTTTTGGTTTTTCTTTTTCTTTTCTTTTGGAAATGTGCTTAATGTTAAAACAAACAGATATATAAAAAGTAGTTACAGAAAAACAAGCATGGAAACAAAAACAAATGAATTTGCTCTTAAATCAGGCATACAACTCTCACTGCTGACTGCTTTCCTTTTAGTGCCTTTACTAATCATTCCTTCCCATCTCAGGACAAGTGTCCTTAGACGTAGGTCAAAGGGTACAGTATTGACATTGTTTAGGATAAGTCTAAAGGTCTGATGTGCAGCACTGGGTCTATGATTAATGGTATTGTATTGAATACTGGAAATTTTCTAAGAGAGTAGATTTTAGCTGTCCTTCCCCCCCATCCCACCCTCCAAAAAAGAAAAAGAAAAAGTAGCTATGTGAGATGAAGAATATGTTAATTTATTCAACTGTGGTAATCATTTCACTATATATGTATGTCAAAACATCATGTTGTATACCTAAAATATATACAATTTAAAAAAGAAAGAAATCTGTGTGAGACTTTTCATGAGAAAACAATAAATAAAGGGAAACAAAGAGAATATATTTAACAAATATTTATGCAACAGTTGGTTATTACATACAGTTATAGAAGTACAAACATGAAATAATGTATACTGGTTAAATGAATCACAACACATTCATACTATTTAATAGCATACAGCTTTTAAAAAGGAGTGTAATTTGTATATATTTTAATGGAAGAGGATATATGATAAATGAGTGAATAAAATTATTTATAGAAAAATGTATGTATAGTAGGATATCATTTTTGTTAAAAATGAAAAACAATTGTATAGCTGTGTGTGTGTGTGTGGGTATAAGTTGATTTAGACATGAGTAAAAACATGACAACCAATTGTTAATGATTGTTGCTACTGTTGGAGAGATAGGAAGGAAGAGGTTCTAGGGATCTTACTTTAGAAAAATTTATACACTTCACTTATTTTTACAAAACTCTTTTTAAAACATTTAAGTATAAAAAATATTGTCTTATGCATATTTATATAGTATAACATATACTTGTGTGTTTATTTGTAAAACATACCTGTATGTAGACAAGTGTTATCTCTATCATCTTTCATCTATCTATTTATGTGTTCAATGTTTAAAAATCTTTTAATTTTCAATCCACTTTTTTTTTTTTTTTGCCTGGGCCTGAACTTGGCTTATTTTTTCCCTAGGCCATGTGCTGATTTTCATGACCATCATATCTCATTGATTTTCCAGCTGTATGTTTGTTTCTTTATTTGTTTAGAGACAGTGTCTTACTCTGTCACCCAGGCTGGAATGCAGTGGTATGATCTCTGCTCACTGCAATCTCCACTTCCAAAGTTCAAGTGATGCTCCTGCCTCAGCATCCTGAGTAGCTGGGACTGCAGGTGTGAGCCACTACATCCAGCTAATTTTTTTGTGTTTTTAGTAGAGATGGGGTTTCGCCATGTTGGCCGTGCTGGTCTTGAACTCCTGGACTCAGGTGATCTGCCCGCCTTGGCCTCCCAAAGTGTGGAGATTACAGGCGTGAACCACCGCGCTCAGCCACCAGCTGGTTTTTATGTGACATGTAAGCACAAGGGTCAACAATTTTATAAACAACTGACCATACAGTCAGCCATGCTCCTGAATCCACCAGTACTGGCACACTTCCACAGATTGACCCAGCTAATTCAATGCAACAGTTAGTAAATTCATCAAAACAGTTCTTCAGTTTACTTCTCTTTTACAAGAATTTGAAACATGGTACAGAAAAAAAAATATTGTCTCTCAGTTAGCATTGGGTCTTTGCTTGACCACAGCCAGGCCATGGGCAAGGTGCTTTCCTTTCCTAAACCTGAGTTACACAATGCAGGTAATAAACAAAAGAGACAATGTATGTCAAGTTGCTTTATGAAAATGCAAGTTATATGCTAAGATATTTTATTATTTTTTGTACTCTATTTTATTATTTATATGAATATACAAGGAACTCTTGGAGGGTAAGGTTATGACTCATACCCCTGGGAAGCACCCCCTGCCATTTATTCAACAAATGTTTATTAAACATCAACTGTGTTCCAGGTACTGATTTTGATGCTGAGAAAATAATGGTATTACACCATTAAAGAGACACTTACCCTAATAAAGATTACCACGTAGTGTAAGGACACACACCAAAACAAAATAAATAATTAAAATATGTAGCATTGTCTTGCATTAATTCCAAAATTCTTATCGCACAATCAATCACATTTTGTGGTTTAATAGGTGCTTTCAGCGTTTTTTTTTCTTTTCTTCTAATGTTACACACACAATTGTTGCATCTCGTAATCACTGATGTCCTAGATTTGATGTTTTCTAGAGTACTTTGAGGGTTAAAACAGAAAAGAAATCAAAGGAGATGTTAGACTTACAGGGTTTCATAAGTCTGTGGGGTCGAACTTCAAACAGAAGTCTGCATGAGCCTGAGCCACAGTTTTCTTCAATGCTGTTCTCTGCCATTTTCAGGAAACCTTGAGTAAGATGGTCCCTGCCATAGCTTCCCTGGATGCCTCAGAGTCTTCTGAGTGGTCATTATTCATAAAAAAAGAACTAAAACCTAATTAATTTTTCAAAACACTTGGATTTTTATTGTTACACTTTTTTTTGAAAGCAGACCTACAAGAAGCTAAGATATCAGACATATATTTTAAATCACAATGATTTCTACCATTTATTAACTCGTGAGATAGTTTGTCTTAAATGCATTATCTCTAATTCTCACTACCATTCAAGGTGTATGTTATCATATCCATTTTACAGATGAAGAAATCCAAAATCTGCAGAAGACAGATGAGGACAACTACAACATGACATATTTGAGCCTCTGGAGCTATTTTCTCATTACCATACTATGATCACTATGAACCTTGACAGTTTTCCTGATATTGAGTCGCTTCCTGCATCATCAAGGAAACTATAATCTTATCTAGGGCCTTTAGTATGCTGGTCATAGCAAATTCAGCCAACTATGCTTACCAAAGCAAGGAATAAGCTCTTGAATTGTCGAAAGACTGGGAACAGGCTTTTTTTTTTTTTTCTCTTTATAAAAGGGAAAGGTGGAGTTGTTCAATTCTTCAGTACTTTATTAATTAAAAATCCTAATAAAAGAATAGGCAAATTAGTCAAAATTTCACAGTACAACAAAAGAACAAGGTTTTGGAGTGGATAAATGTAGATTCTAACTCCACCCCCTTACTTTTCATAAGGTACTCACCTCTCAGAACCTATCTCATCTGTTAATAAGAAAGAAGGCTGCCTGCCTTCTGTGAGAACCAAGTAAAAACATGTATAAAGACACCTAACCTGGTCTCTAAGAGACAGCTAATACTATTAAGGCAATCCTAGTGAGAAAAGGTTGTACAATGTAAAAGCTGTAGCAGGCAATGTAATGCTCCCCAAAGATATCCACATCCTAATCTCCGGAATCTGTGATGTGTGACATTACAAGGCAAAGGGGAATTAAAGTTGCAGATGGAGTTAAGGTTCTCATAAGCTGACTAAAACAGACAGATTATACTGGGTTATATATGTGGACCAGTGTAATCACAAGGATCTTTAAAAGAGGAAGAGGGAATAAAATGTAAAAACCAGAGAGATGGAAACAGAAGAGGGACTCAGCCTGATGTTACTGGCTTTGAAGATAGAGGAAGAAGGCATGAGCCTAGAAAAGTGAGCGGCCTCTGGAAGCTGTAAAGAGAGAGCGGATTCTCTAGTAGAGCCTTGAGAAGGAACACAACCCTGAAAATGCCTTGACCATAACCCCGGTGAGACCACTGCCAGATTCTCACCCCCAGAATTGTAAGACAATACATTTGTATTGTTTCAGCTACTAAGTTTGCAGTAACTAAATTTATAATAGCAGCAATAGGAAACTCATACAAAAGCTAAGAGCCAGAAAATCTGGGTTCCACCTCTTGTTCTTCCCCTGTCTAGTTCTGTTATTTTGGAGAAATTTTTAAGCACTCCATGTCTCATTTGCCTCATCTGTGAAATGGAAATGATAATGCTAGCTACCTCATAGTATGAGGGA
Organism: Homo sapiens; assembly: GCF_000001405.40. NCBI lineage: Eukaryota > Metazoa > Chordata > Mammalia > Primates > Hominidae > Homo > Homo sapiens. The sequence continues at coordinate 41,988,540 of NC_000011.10, forward strand.
CTAAAAGAGTTACCATATGTTTTAATAATTTAGAGTAGTGTTTGGCTATGGCAATTATTTAGTAAGTATTAGCTATAAGGGCTTTCTTAGAGGACAACAATAATGGTCTCAGCGACTTGGTTTCTCATCCTTTAAATGCTATAAAGTCTTACACATCTATATTTCTATGCCATTTATTGCGTAAACTTGGAGAATGGTTAATGGAGCACAGAATTTACACCCAGGGAGGAAAATCAAGATCATGCTAGCAGGGAGAACAGAGGCAAAGAAAAAGAGGGCCCTCAGCTTTGATAATGAAAAAAAAAAAGAAAAAGAAAAAAGAAAGGAAGGAAGGAAGGAAGGAAGGAAGGAAGGAAGAAAGAAAGAAAAGAAAGAAAGAAAGAAAGAAAGAAAGAAAGAAAGAAAGAAAGAAAGAAAGAAAGAAAGAAAAGAAAAAGGCAGGCAAGTATGTAAAGAATTGATAACAATGGCAGACTCATTGCCGTTTTAAACCTAACATTTTATCACTCTTGCCTTTAAAGAACAACCCCGTTGCTTTCAATCATGGGTGTGGAGAATGCACATAACTATTTGGCATTTCAAAGAAATAAAATTTAAAAGAGCCGCTAAAGTTATCCATCCCTCTTTTCTAAACTTGAAACATCAAAAATAGATGTCCCTGGCATGATAACACACTGAAGTCATTTTGAAAGAGAATTAGAATTTCCATTCCTCATTTTCCTTTCTCCCCAGTAAGGTTCCAAGCAGATGGGAATATCAATTTAGTTACTTGACATTTAGAAGCATAAATGACTTAAGAGCTTTATGATCCCCTCTCATTGAAGCATATTTGATAACATCTGCCCAACATCTTACATTCATATCAGAGCCAACTATGATTTAACAAGAAGAGAATGGCTAGAATCCAGCACCCCAGGGTTCCATCTCTGGTTCTGATACTCACATAAGCAGCAGTAGGTACCTAATGATAACTAAAGCTTATTTTAGGGGCAGTTTATTTGTTTTTATCCTTGCTGAAATGCTATTATTAATACTAACTGAAAAGTTAGATAAATGGGATAGGTAATATTCTTTCAAAGAGAAAATAATACTGGTCATGGGAAAGTTTTTATTCAAAGCTTTAGGGGAAAGAAAATCTGTTCTACTTTAGATTGTATTAGAGATACTGCAAAAATATTGAATACTATGGCTAAGGATCTCATTCTTAAAGAATAAAAATTTCTGTTTTGTTTTTTTTTTGAAAACATGTTACTGTCTTTACTAGAAATTCAAATTCTTTTTTATAATAAATCACAGTACTTCATTTATATTGTTACCTCCTCACTAATTATCAGACTGAAGCCTGGAACATAAAAATATATATAGTCTAATCTTTCCATTTTATAGTGTCCTTTTAAAGGAAAGAAGAAGAATGTCATTCCTGAGACATTTATGAAGACTTATTGGGCAACCTCCAAAAGATAAGAGCCATAAAAAAATTAAGTAACATTAATCAAAATCACTTGAACAAATAGGGAGCAGGCATCTCCAGACCTAGTATTCACATCTCAGAGAAATATAAATCTCTCTTGAAACTTTGTATTTGGATATTGGCTAGGGAACAGCTTTAATTCCTTCAGAATTGTCCTCTCTTGGTATTACCTGTGAGTCCATGTGTGCCATGTCCTGAGAAACTATGCAAAGAGTTAGGACTGAATAAACATTTGCTGAACAGATTAATTCATTTATTGTTTACAGTGCTTTCTATTATATTGTTCTGGCTTGTAAGATTAAAGAATTTTCTTGTATATATCATCACATTGGAATTTAGTTTATGGAGTCATTTTGTTACATAAATATAATGAGACATGAAATTCTGAAACTTCAAGGAAACTTAAAGGTCGACTGATCTAATACCCTAATTTTCCAATGTGTAGAATGAAAATAACATTTCAGGGACCTCAACAAGTCCTCTAGTCATCTAGTCAAAAGTTTGACAAAACACTTCATGAGACATGGTAATTCATTTTATGCCATGGACTCAAATTTAATATCAATGGTTTCATTCAGAAAATAGCTTTATGTTACATTTTAGTTGTTTAAAGATATGCATTTTTTTCTAAAATGTAACTCTTGAGATACTGATAACTATCTAATTGTCTTTAATATAAAAATGCATTTACATGAATGAAAAATACAAATATATATGTGCATACACAGATGGTTTCTGATTTTCTGACATATTGAATTTAATTTAAAATTTTAAAATTATATATTTACTTGGGGTTTTCTTATCCAATGTCTCTAGAATCCAAACTCCATAAACAGGGATCAAATGTATTTATTACCAAGTTCATTGCTTAGCACCTAGTAGATAATCAATTACTAATTGATTCTAAAAATGAATTAAAGAAGACGCAATGACAATTTGGATATTTTATTAAGATGGTCATGCCTTCTGTGATATCCAAGTATAAATCAGAAGGCCAAACCTCTTTGTTTTGTGATCGGGAAGAAGGTCAGGACTGGGGCAGGAGGGATGGCCTTGTGATGTATTGGTAAGTTAAAATGACGTAAAGACTCAGGACCAAAACATACCACAACAACTTTTTTGTTCCAATTTCAATCTGTCTCCTATCCTGGTTTAATATAATTTTGTTGACTTTTCAAAGCAACCCTCTGACAAAGACTTTCCAATAATCACTTGATGTTTTACGATCTAGCATCTGTTCTCTCTCCTTGTTGTAATGATGCAATGTGTTAGGTGTCGCTTTCATCTCACCACTGGATATAGTTTGGAAGAACAGTCAAGCATAGGACACTGCTCATCCACAACTAAAATATGGGAAGATAGCCTAAGTTTGGACAGTTGTGTTATCTTTCTCTGAAATTTAACAACAGCAACCAAAAGGCTGAAAATGTTTGGAGTGAATTCATAGCAATGGTAGCAGTCAAAGACGATGGCCAGTAATTTTTTTCAATTTGGATGACCAGAGATTCTCTGGTTCCCTAGCCTCCTTTATGTCTATTCCCATATCCTTCTGGTAACTCCATTCCTTCTTATGTCAGATTTAGTCAGTTTCTACTGCATGCAATTAAGCAATTTTAATTAACACAGACCTTAGTGTTTGTGTAATGTGAAGGTAAGGTCTTCTGAATCCCCACATCTGGATTTGTATATTTATTCTGTCACTGACCATATGATATTCAGGACATTCCTTGACCTACCTAAGCTCCAGTTTTCCCATGAACATAAGATAACTTTTAAAATTAACTTAAATTAAATGGTGCCTAGGCAGTATTAGGCATGCAGTAAGTATAGGAGATCTTTGAATAACATCCTTTCAGTCAATGTCATTTCGTTGTAACATAGATGACAGAAAAAAAAATGGCTACCAACAGGGGCCACTCTCTGTGTAAAGCCTGGTGGTTCCCTCCATGTCTCCATGGATTTTCTCTGGGTGCTCTGGTTTCCTCCCACATCCCCAAAACGTGCACGTTAATTGTGTCTAAATGGTTCCAGTCCAAGTGAGTGTGGGTGTGTGTGCTTGCACTCTGCAAAGAAATGGGGTCTTGTCCAAGGCTGGTTTCTACCTTGCATCCTGAGCTGCTGGGATAGGTTCTGGACATCCATGATTTTTAACTGGAATAAGTAGGTAAATAATATCTCACTTGTTTTTATTAATTGTTTTAAATGTATATATAGTTCACATGTATTTCCATGTTTAATATTGTAAGTGTTTTCATCTGTATTTAGAAGTATGGTGATGTTTTTATGATGAGAAATATGCCACAGGAACTTAATTCTTCTTTATATCAATTAGCCTATGGTAAAATTATTTTCATTATATGTCATTTTGCTTAAAGTTACAGTTTACAAGAACCCATTGATGACTTTAAGTAAATACTCACTGTACTCGATTGATGGTAGAAGGCTAATATGAATATCAAGAGTAAAATTACTCTTTATGTAGGTATTATAATCCAGGAAGAATTACAGTTAACAATGACATTTCTCCAAGTGTTTCTTGTAAGAGCCTTTCCAAGAGGTGCTAATCAGGCATTGATACAGCATTCTTTAATTTTGAGATGTACAGATTTTAAAAAACGTTTTCTAAACTCGGACTCACCTGAAAGTCAATGTTTTCATTTAGTGAGTTAGTGTTCCTTTGTCCCTTTTTATTTCTCCCCTTAAGGTCATTAAGTTGGTGATGCACCTTACAAGCAATAGGACCCTAAACTAAAAAGTATGGTAACTGACAGGAGTGTGAGGTAAATTACTCACACACAAAACATGGTGTGTAGGACCCCACCCACACTCTTTCAGCCTAGCTACTCTCATCCAACCATAATGGAGAAAGCAATTCTAGTAATCTTACCTCCACATTTGAGTTGACCTTTCACTTGTCTTAAATAGAAACACAATTCTTTTTGCGTTCATCAGGGATTCTCTGTGTTCAAGCTTCTGTTTTTGTAGACTATTGTAGTTCAAGTTTATTTTAAGTTGGGATAACAGATAGTTGCTAATTAAAGTACATTCTTACTGACCTATGGTTTTGCTTCACATTTACTGCCTCTACAATCATGATCTTAGAGGGAATAAGGAAAAAATGCACTCTCCTGCTGGGGCTGACTTCTGCTCAATGTTACATAAGCTATGTTAGCACTCACTGTTGGACATTGATTTTTTCTTTGGGAGAACAAAGGTGCATGTGTATATCTTGCCATAGGCCAACTTGCCTCAGTTTACCCACTTATTGAATGAACTACATAGTTGCTATTATGTATAAGGAATAAGTATGCTTGATTAATATTTAGGAGGCCAAAAGATCCAGAGACAAGCAATAAAGAGTCAAAGTGCATTGTTTTGTTGCTGTTTTTTTATTAATATTGACTGAGAGGTATTGAGCCAACCAAGCACACAATGTTGTATTGATTTTCAAAGTGAGCACTTAACTGAGGCATCAACATTAAATCTAAACATAATCCTTTTGTGGGGGAATAAAGCATGATCTTTGTCTTCTAGCCAGGTTTCTTTGATGCAGGTTTATTTGAAGCATGAAGACCTTGGTCCAATGACTCTTTGAAGTTGCTCAATTCCAGTGTTCAAAGAGAGGATACTACAATGTCAACAACTGGCCTGTAAATCTTAAGAATTGATTTGAGGCACGTTATGATTCTGAAGTATGAGGAAGAAAGAAGAAGGATGGAATAATTTAAATGGTAGTGGTTTTAGAGTTATACAGATGTGGATTCCAAACCTTGACCTACCACTTACCTTAAGCAAGTTACTTGACAATTCTGAAACTGTTTCCTCAACTGTAAAATTGAGATCATGTGCATGTAAATTAAACACATGATTGTTTGTTGGAGTGCAATAAATGTTGGTTCTCTTTTTTCTCTGTTCTAAAAATGAGCTAGAAGCTATTAGCTATGGGAGGAAATACTTTCTATAGATCACAAGTGCAGAGGGAACATATAAGGACTGTTTAGGTTCAATGAAACATGAAATGGAAGAATATACTAGTACTTATGCAATCTGGAAAACTATAAACTCCATTCAAATACACTCTTCTTTTTTCATCAACTAAAAAGTCATACCAGTGTAATGAGGTCACGTTGTTTTTTTAGAAATAGTTTTTCAGTACCAGTGACTGTGGGTCATTGCCATCTATGAGCATTTGTCCCCAAATGCAGCACATGTAGCAATAGCAAGTTAGAGGTAGAAGGCTCTGCATGGAGTAGGTAAGAGTAGACATTGAACATTCCAAAATATAAAATATCAGGAATTGATAAAGGAATTATCATGCTATTTCAGAAAGAAGACAGAGAAGACCTTTCTGGAATCAGCCCTTTGAAGAGACTAGAGGAAAGTGAAGAAGATAGCTGTGCGGGTATCTCAGAGATTACATTCCCTCCAAAGAGAAGAGTGAATGCAGCTAGAGCAGAACTGTGTAAAAACCAGGAAGGAACAGTGTGACTGGGGCATGGTAGACAGGGTAGAAGGGTTAGAGATGACAGCTGAGACATGGTGGCAGTAAACAAGGTAAATATTATTCTAACTTCAGTGGCAGTCAATGGAGGTTTTGAGTGGTGGAGAGATGTAATCTGACAACACTAGGAGTTAGTTGTGGTTGGTGTTTTGGAACAGAAGAGTGAACAGTGTTTTCTGTATCAGTCCATTCTTGCATTGCTTTAAAGAATTACCTAAGACTGGGTAATTTATTACTCTAAAGAACTATCTAAGACTGGGTAATTTATTTTTAAAAAGAGGTTTAGTTGGCTCATGGTTCCACAGGCTGTACAGGAAGCATGGCTGGGGAGGTCTCAGGAAACTTAAAATCATGGTGAAAGGTGAAGGAGAAGCAAAGTCCTACAGGGCTGGAGCAGGAGGGAGAGAGCAAAGGGGGGATGCTACACACTTCTATTTATTTTATTTATTTATCATTATTATGATTTTTTAGACAGAGTCTTGCTCTGTCACCCAGGCTGCAGTGCAGTGGCATGATCTCTGCTCACTGCAACCTCTACATTCCAGGTTCAAGCAATTCTCTTGCCTCAGCCTCCCAAGTGGCTGGGATTACAAGTGTGTGACATCATGCCCACTTAATTTTGTATTTTCAGTAGACATGGGGTTTCACCACATTGGCGAGGCTGCTCTCGATCTCCTGACCTCAAGTGATCTGTCCGCCTCGGCCTCCCAAAGTGCTGGGATTACAGGTGTGAGCCACTGTGCCCAGCCCTACATACTTTTAAACAACCAGATCTCATGAGAACTCACAAGAATAGCAAGGAGAAACTCCATCCTCATGAACTAATCACCTCCCACCAGGTCTCTCCTCCAACATTGGGGATTACAATTCAACATGAGATTCAGGCGAGGACACAAATCCAAACTATATCAGTAGCAGAACTGGGACTGCCTTCATGCCCTCTGCCCACTCTACAGCAATAGTGGGAATTATGCCTTTACTGGAAACATCTGTACCTAGAAGGGAAAATAGGCAGAAGGGGAATGATACCATAGGAAGTAGTAGTCACTGTTTTATTCTATAAAAAATATAAATATGTTTAAGGAGTAATTAAAAATACTGTGACATCTAAGTGTTTATGACACCTTGGACTAAAGTTTCTAGGACTAGCTGTGAATATTTGAGTATTTTATTAATAATTATATGTTTGTGCTTAAGGATAGGCACTGAATCTTAATCATTTTTGTATTCCTAGCTCTTTTTACAGAACCTGACACTTGACACACATTCAATAAATGGTAACTAAATTAAAGCGCGATAAAGACTAATACTGGCACATGCACTAATTCCCAGTTGACAATTCAATTGCTTTCATATTTATTATCGTCTTACTTGATGATGAAGATAGTCCTCATAGGAGGGCTATGCATCTTATTACCCCACTTTAAAGATAAGATAGCTGAGGCTCAGAGAGGATAGGCAGCAGTCCAAAGTATGTAATTAAAAGCAACAAAAGTGGGACATGAGCACTAAATCACATTATCTCTCGCCATGATTCGAAACTACATTTCCCACAAATGTCTTTCCTATGGTTAGTTCCTGAGCTAACCCTGAACTCTGTCAGTCTGTATCTCAGGATTAATTCCAGCTAGACTCTATCTACCACCATCTCATGCACATGAAATGGCTGAAAGTCAATGCATATAAGAAACATCCTCTGGGTTTAGAAACAACTGCGTGGAATAAAAGTCTCTGTCAATTTTCAGATGTTAGCAACACATATTTTTCACCTTTAATATGTTAAAACAAGGATCGTTCAGCATTAACTGAGCACAGTAGACACTGAATGAAGACTCTGATAGAACAGACTGCCAACTACCCAGGGTATTTATATACATATGCAATAACCTAGAACTGTGAAAAGGCTTTCGAATTTAGTGGCAGGTAAGAGACTTAATTACTTGTCAGTTTCTTGACTGTTCATTCTACTATGGCAAAACTGTAATTTTTTTTCCTCTATGGCTTTTGTCACTCTACCAGACACCAATTGTTGACCAATTTTCATTCAAAGAGAACGTGTTAGTTTCTCTCAATGGAAACATACCCTGCCTCTTAATAGATTTTGCAAAGTGCCAAACTTGCTTTTGGCTCACAGTTGAGACCCTGGGAAGTCAGACTCATTATGGAATGAAGGTTTAAGCAGCTTTTTAACTACTGGAAGTCTCTAGAGGCAGAGCCATCACTCCATCTAATCTCCTCCCATCATCAGTGACTCATGGGGTCTCATTATCTTGTTTAGTACTTCAAATCTGAAGCAATTGTGCTCATACCAAGGACATTGCTCTTTGCCACCAAGTAAAAAAGATAGCAAAAAAAATGTGCTAGTGTTAGCAGGCAATGCAGTTGTACAAAGAAAACTGACACACAAATCATTTATCATCATCAATAGGACCTGTCAAAATGGAGTGAAAGGGAAAATCTTTAGAAATTTCTTCCAATGTGCTAATGATACTTCTGTCCAAGATTGAAGGGGAGCCTAATGCTCCTAATATTAATTCGATTTTGAAATTTGATGCAATTTGGTTAACCACTCAACTCAAAGGTTCAGAGAAGGTGAGGTTTTACAAATTTGCTAAGCACACACAGATAATTTACTATGTGCCCTACCCTACAGTATGGAATTTAGAAAAATTTAAAGTATTTAAATTCAGAAATTCTTCATCCCTTTCTTTTCTTACAGTTTCTTCACCTTCTCTTTCTCCTTTCTTGTCTTTATTTTTTTTTACATAATATTTATATAAATCTCCAATATTCAGTTTTTACTATAAACAGTACTTTACAACCCTACCCTTACTCTAGGGGATGTTTAGGGAAAAAATCCAAAACGTATTTATTTTTTATCAAAACTTTAACAAAATCGATTCTAAACGTGTTGCCATAAAATATTATTCATTGAAATATATTAATTTCTGCAGAGAGGCAATTATTTCAACTTTCAATCAATTTTAGAGTTCTTCCTTTATATATGACACATCTTTATTGGTATGTTTTCTGTACTATCAATGAGAGGGAAAAGAGTTGCTGAAACAACCATTATAAAAATAGTTTAAAACAGTTTATGTATTTGAAAGAGTCCTGCTTATTAGAAGAAGAAGAAGGCATTAAATACCCTTTTCCTCCAATAAGTGATTCTTCCAGGCACCTGTGAGGAGATAAAGAAAATGATTTGTGTTTTTCCTTTTCATCTATTGACATCATCCTTTTTTCTGACTGGTAAATATAAACAAGTTGGAAAGCAAGGACGAATTATAAGAAGGCTGGTCTAAGCCTGCTCCCCAAACTGCAGAAAAAGAGCTTGATACTGAAATGAAACTATAAATCAAGGAGGGACAGTGTTCTCTTTTTTGGAAGACTTAGCTTCTCAGATAATATGTCCTGTTGTGATGAAATTTGAATATGACAAAGTGACTATTATTCCTGCTATTTCTAAGGGAAGATGTCAGGGTGGAGGGGAAAGGGTGAGAGTTTGTAACGCTGTACCACTGTAGCGGATACTCCTGTCTTCTTGTACGTGAATGTATTGAATTGTAGTGACACAGCTGACAAAAAGAGTTATGTCTTTTCATGAGCTTGTATGTTTTATTGCTCACATTGCTCTTGAAGAAGAAGAAAATACAGGTGAATTCAATAAGCTATAAATTTTCCCTAGCATACAGTATGATACTGTCTTCTGCTGGAAGAGAAGGCAAAGGGGGCACAAAGTGCCTCCGTACTATGAATGGAACATGTATCTGGGAGAGAAAGCGAGTGTTAAAATACCTAGACTTCTATCTGTCCTCCCCAAAATGAGACTCTCCCTTTACAGTTCCAAAACATGCCAGCAATCTACAGAAATAATGATGGCCACCAATATCACTGAACCAATAACTCTTTCTTCCTAAGATGTCAATTTTGTTTCCAAGTAAGCCAGCCACACTAGGAAAAGTGTGCAACGTCATGTTTACATTATTTTTAAAGAAGACAAAAACAGCATCCAAAAGTATTGGAAAATAAATCTAGTTTAATACAGAAGCACACATATTTCTCAATACACCCGCCTATAAATTGCCTTTAATATACTCACAAAGATATAAAAAAGGGCAAAAGCTAACAACTAGACTATAAATGAAAAAATAAGACCATAATGCAAGGTGTAAGGGGAAATCTCGAATAACAACATAATCAATAAAGATGAATTTAGAAGAATATTTTAAAATTATACATGCAAAAACTATGCATGTGTATATATATATATATATATATATATATATATATATATATATGTGTGTGTGTGTGTGTGTATATATATGAGTTTTGAGCCAGAATAGCCCAGATGGCCATAAGAAGCTCTAAAAGTAGTTTTATTCACTGTCCTCCCCCACAATTCTGCACTTCCCTAAAACAAATTTATATATCTATATCTATAATATATCTACCTACCTAACTATCTACACACACACCGCATACACACACATTACATACACACACAGGTCTATACACAGATACACATATATGCATATATACCCATATATATTTATTTTTCTGTTGTGTGGAAAGTAATTTCTGAATAGCCAGGTGTATTTCATTCTGTCACTTGCTCCAGACTACTTTTCCTATTTCCCATAGGTTCCTGTCTTACTATGTACATCTATTAAGAGACTATGTATTTATAAACTTTGCTTTAGTAACAAATGGCCACAAAATCCCACTGGCCTAGAACAACAAAGATTTATTTCTCACACATGTTACATGTCAGCTGCAAGTTGATGATGGCTCAGCTGCAGCTCTTTTCAACTCAGCTGTATTCCAGAGATTTTCTTTATAATAGGATCTTGCTGAAGAAGCAGCTTCAGTATGGAGGATAATATTCTTGTGGCACAGGAAAAGGGTGAGAGTTGAGAAGATTTAGCACTGACCTTCAATTGACATATTGCAATATGAAGATGGCATATTTTTTTCTCTACTAAGCCCCTGAGATTTTGAAATCACTTGTCAATATTTTAAAAATTGACTAAATAAAAGTTTGTTCTTAGATATGGGAACCTGTTAAAAAATAATTCCCAAAATATGTAACATTGGCTTCAGCGCTGGATGTTGAACAGGGAGGAAATTGTTAATGAAGATTAGCAAAATTATTTGTGTTGGACTCTATTCCTTTCTGTCCCCAACTTAGAGTGTTATGCAATGGAAAAATATTTTACATGATTTCCTAAGATAATTGGGAAGGCAAATAGCATTTCATAGCTTTAGGCAAAGGAATAGCAAAACTGAATTTTTCCAGTTTTCCTTAATTTTTATTAGGTGCACTTGTTATTCAGCACTAGAAGACTAACAGTAACAGAAGGCATTATAATATTTATATGTAATTTGTAAAATGTACTGAGCTTGGGAAAAAAAATTTGTGTAAGCAAAGGACAGACTCAGAGTACTCAAGGAATAATGTATGAAAACAGGTTCATGCCCTGAACATAATGTCAAAGAGACCAAGTATCATTTCTTTGAAACTCCTTTACACACAGAACGCTGTATTTTCCAGCCTCCCTTGCATTTAGATGTGGCCATGTGACTAACTTTAAGCCAATGGGATTTTGAAGGAAATGATTTACAACACTTTAATGCTTGGCCTCTAAAGCCTCCCCATGGATGACCTGTGTCATCCATGAATGACTGATCCTGAATGACTACAGAGAGCAGCATCCCTTGTCAATGCCTGCTGATCAAATTTCATATCAAGATAGATAGACTTCTATTAAATGAAATTATGGAGACTAAGAGTTGTAGCACATAGCAATACCTTATCTAATGTTCATATTGGAAACATTATAATTGCCTAAGTACTTCACAAGTGACTGGGCAGTTGACTATTTTTAACTAATAACAAAATCAAAGTGTGGGAGGTTCTTAAAGGAGCAAGAAGTATTAAACTTAGATTTTTCCTTCAATGTTAACTAGAGTAAAAGGGAAAAAAGTGTACATTAATTTTATGTGATTCTCTACAAAAAAGATCCTGAAGCCAAGAAATTTGTAAAAGATGGCCTCTCTGTGAGCTGTCTTAAAGATTAAACACTCTAAGAATCCAGGTGCTCAAAACAAAACCAGGTATCTGCAAACTACAGCACAAGAACCAAGTCTGGCCCACTGCCTGTTTTTGTAAACAAAGCTTTATTAGAACACAATCATACTTATTTATTTATGTACTTGCCTATGATTGCTTTCACACTACAACAACAGAGGTGAAGAAGTTACAACAGTCTGCATACGTCGGAAAGCCAAAAATATTTACTATCTGGACCTTTATGGAAAAGTTTGCTGATTCCCAAATACAACAAAACAAAACCAACAATCTGATTAATATCCTACCTTATTTGTCCGTGAAATATGTTATTTTATGTTAAATATGCTTGTTTTTACAAGAAGGGCATTATTTAAAAATCCCTATCTTTTGAGGGGGAAAACGCTTTGATTTAAGAAACGTAAACCCAAGTAAGTTTCTACTTCTTTGTGAAGGTAAGAAAAAGTTGTCATCTGATATTTTATGTGTCTGATAATTGCAAAAACTCCTGAGGAAAAAAAAACTTGATGTATCACAGGAAAGAAATAATGTAGTATTTTGGTTATATACATAGGATTTAGAGATAGCCTGACTTTGTAGTACAGATTACTCCATCAGCTCTATAGTTCCTCGATGTCTTCATGTCCAAAATAGGTTTAATAATAAAGAAACAATGTGTATTAAAGTAGGTAATTCATAAAAGATACTTAGAACAGTGCATATCAAAGAAGAAATGATCAATATATTTGTTATTTTTTTAAGAGAGCAAGAAAAAATAATGCACATCAAAATTCGAAAGCCACAAATCATAACATGAAAATTTTTAAGAGCAGTGAAACATAGTACTCAATATGCAGTTTATCATTAATAACCTAGGTAACATTGGGTAGAAGACTGAATGCAAAAACAGTTCTAAATCAGAAGTATTTGATATATAATATAAATAATAAAATCATTCCGTAAGCTTTAAAACAATTAAATTGTAATATAATGTGATAATAGAAAACAGAGAAAGGAAAAATGCCTGAAACTATTTTTAAAATTCTGTGTCTTTCTTTCTCTCCCTCTCTATCTATCAATCTATCTTAAGCAAACATTTTTTTCTAAAACAATATTCAGTGCTGATGGCATGTTGATAAAGACATATTAATTAATATATATTTATTAATTTATTAACAATTACATTTAAGTCTGTAATCCACCTTGAGTTAATTTTTGTATAACATGTAAGGAAGGGGTCCAGCTTCAGTTTTCTGTATATGGCTAGCCAATTTTCCCAGCACTATTTATTAGATAGGGAATCCTTTCCCCATTGCTTGCTTTTGTCAGGCTTGTCAAAGTTCAGATGGTTGTAGATGTGTGGTGTTATTTCTGAGGTCTCTGTTTTGTTCCATTGGTCTGTATGTCTGTTTTTGTACCAGTACCATGCTGTTTTGGTTACTGTAGACTCGTAGTATAGTTTGAAGTCAGGTAGTGTGATGCCTCCAGCCTTGCTCTTTTTGCTTAGGATTGTCTTGGCTATACAGGGTCTTCTTTGATTCCATATGAAATTATAGTAGTTTTTTCTAATTCTGTGAAGAAAGTCAATGGTAGTTTGATGGGAATAGCATTGAATCTATAAATTACTTTGGGCAGTATAGCCATTCCCATGACAACAACGATATAAATATTTATATATTTTTAATTCTTACATATATAAGATATGTATACATTCAATTGAATACATATATTCAATTCTTACATATATATGTGTATATAGATACACTATATATATGTGGGCATATATATATATATGTATAAAATACATAAATATTTGTGTTTTCTGGTGCTGCTCTGAAGAAATTATTTTCCAATTACCATGGCAATGACTGGCTAACTTTATAGCTGGGTATGAGATTATTTAGAGAATGGTTGCACTGATATTTATCTTGAGCTGAATAGCTGAATAATTGGAATATGCCGTTTTGAGTAGTTCAAGCCAGCTGACTACAACTTCTCTTCTTATTTTTCACTAAAAGTCTTGGGTATTTCATACTATCATTGTTATTTTATTTTTAAACCAAATGATTTTGCAAAATGTCTGGCACATCTCTTCTCCCATCTGGAATCAAGAGACACTCAAAGGTTAAAAATTAATCCTACTTGAGCAAAAGATGGGTTTGTTATTCTGGTTACTCAATCTTCCTGATGAAGATGTTTTTTTCTGGACAGCTAGATCATAAGATAAAAATAGCCATGAGATGGTATTGACCAGACTTTTTTCTCTCCTTTGAGAAAAAGTTGATTTTACTTTTAGAAGAAGCCTATTCAGGGACTCTACAACTGCGTTGTTTTTCTAATTCAGTATCCTTTTTTGTTACTTTGATGTAAAATTTTTCTGCAAGAGGACTATCCATAATTTAATTATTATTTTTTTCTTCTTATATCTAATTATATTCAGCAGGAAGGAATCTGCCGGCAGAAATAAGCATAGTAACCTTCTCATCTGAGCTGAGAATTGGGAGTATTGGGAAACATACTCTAAACATACTTTCTTTCATAGATTCCTCAGCCTCCACGGTATGCGGCTACTACATTTATATTTTATGTGTATAGATGTATGTTGTTTAATAATGTATAGAGGTGGATACACTTGCAACAAGGCAATGCGATGTTCTCATTTGATCTACTTTGGTAGACTCACTCTCTGTCAGGAAATTTACTGCGATAATGTGCACAATAAATATTTAATAGCATTGGAGACATCAGAGTCTATTTTTCTTTGAAGAGTGCTTAATTATGTCAATTTCCCGTGATGAGATGCTAAAGTCAGTATTATTTGAATTTGGAGTAACTAGGTAGAGATGACGAAATCCTTGCTTGTGGCTCCCCTTCCACAAAAAGTCAATGTGCGTATAAGTTTAAGCAGGCAATATAGCAGAACCACAATCTCGTTAATTTGGGTCACACTAATTAAATATTTGTGATACTTCAGCTGTGCTTGAGCTAAAGTTTACTAGTACTATCAACGAAGAGAGGGTTGGTTAAGCTAAACATGAGAATAAACAACACAGGATTTTAAAAGTTACATCTATTTTTACTGTGTCCTCTATATTCATGTAATTTGATAGCTTTTTATTTGCCTATATAAATTTAGATATATAGATTATTTGCCTCCATGTTAGGTTGAATCATAGGTTGACATTTGATAATTTTGGCCTAAATATGGGCAATTTTATATGGGTCAATTTATAAGCTTTAATCCTCTCAGTACAGAAGATCTGATGACAGACAAAGCAATATTTCTGTCAATTCCTTGTAGATGATGACAGACCATGCTATATTCTTGCTACGTTTTTCTTACATTATCACTAGAACATTCTAAGCCAAGACCTTAGATGATGGAAAAGTTGATAGGATAAGCAACAGAGTTCCACTTGGCTTTCCAAATAGTTGCATGCATTTGGCCTTAATCTTGAGAGTTATAACTTGTAACTCTCAGTAAAGTCAGAACATATGGCATCACTATGAAGAAGAAACTACAACGTGGCTCTCTGTGCATGATGACAGTTTTGACTCAAATATCTCATTGCAATGTTATTTTTACATCCTCCAAAGAACAAACTTTTTAAAGTATGTATTTTCTACTGGACAAAATAAACAATATTAGACTTTCAGGAGAACTTTTCTTTGGAAAAGTCTTTTTACAGAAATGTAGTAATGATTAGAATAGAAAGCAAAATATATAAACTATGTATAAAAAGAACCGCTTATATTACTGAATACCAAACATGTCTTATTTTAATAATAATAATTCGACACAAGATTTTCACAGAGTTATGAAGTTTCGCTTGAAGATTTCATGAGGTATACCAAGTAAAAGATTTTTTAAATCCCTAGAGTAAAGAAGTGGATACTATCAAATTTAACCCATGCATATCTGAGTGTTACAGGTAATGATTTTTACCTGGTGGTAGATTCTTTGAAGACAGAGAAGATATCATACACATCTGCAGATCCCCCAGAATATCTTATAGACCATCGGACACAAAATCTGTGCTTTAAAACACATTTATCAAATTGTATCCTTCTCTGTATCATGTCTCAGAGACATACCTGGCCCATCTGTGTGTTTCATCCCCTATTCACAATGTTGGTGCAATGATAGACAAGTGAGTCATACCAGGTCAGTGGTACCTAATAATGGGACTTTTGCTCAAATTATTGGCAAACATGGAAGAAGAAATATTCTTCCATATTTTTAATAATACAGCTCATCATCCCTCATCCTTTCAAATAATATCTGCGGACACCCATCGTGTATCAGACTCTACAAACCACAAGTGAAAAATCTCCCCAGAAGAAAACTGAGAGAAAATGAGAGCATGACAACATCATTTGAGTATCAGAATGTAGTTCTAACTGAAAGCTATTACTAAAGTTTATAGTTTATTTAATTTAAGGCAGTATTTTAGATTGCCAGCGGCAACAAAGAAGACACCTGAATAGCATAAAACGTTTTCCAAATTGAGGTTTCTTGGGTTCAGATATCATTTAGACAATGTTAGTATACCTTACACCCAACTCATATAGTTCTGGGGAGATAAAAATTAGTAGTCACATTACACATGCATCCTTACATTTAAGTAATACAAATCAAATTATTGGCACATAGACATACCCCTACAGACATAAAAGCACATGTAAATTTTATACATATATACATACATGCATCAGTGTATATACATGCAGGTATGTATACAATTTAAATTGTTCGGATACTTCTCTCTGTACTTCTGCTATTTCCTCAGATGATTTTAGTATGTGTATTCTTTTCATACTGTAGTTTATGCTGACATTTATAAGTTTAAATGAGTATTTTTTATATAATAGACATAGTTTCCTAGGGAATTGTAATTTTAAAAATACCCCGAGTCACTGAAATGTTGTTTATAACAGTTAAAGAATGCAGATCTATAAATTCCCACTGCATTAGTGTTAAATTACAGTAACTCTGTAATACAGAATATTATAAAGTAATTAAAAATGAGAAAGGGTTACAAAAATTAAAAATATTTCATGAATAAAACCTACATGTTAGTATGTTTTTAAAATCTCATATTTCTGAAAAATAGAAGATATATGTATATTTATAGTCATAATATTCACATATGAATTAACATCACATAAATTCACACACACATACACACACACACACACACACAGGTCCAAGAGTCACTATATACATCTTTTCATAGTGATTAGGCATGGGAGCCTAACTGTTCAATATTTTAAAAAGTAAGCAATTGGAATTTGCTGTAGTACTCACTTAATTTACCCTTTAATAACAAGAAGAAGAAAATCCAAGAGACCTGACCTTACCGGTCAAAATCCACTGACCATCAATTAATAATCATCAGTGCAAATTGGCTGCCTATTTTGTGTTGTGTCATTATCTTCTGCATGTGACACTTTCAACTTTTATTATATCGACAGTAATTAAAGTCCACCTATAGCAGGCCATCTGCAAAATGTGGGCAGTAGAGGCAGTGAAATAAGACATTTGGTTATGTTCAAAGTGTGTCCCTTTTCTCATTGTTTAGACAAAACTCTTACATGTCTTGGCCCTAAATTTTTATTATGACCCCAGTTTAATTCAGGCTTAATTCATCCTGCCCTTGGCTCTATTCTGTCTTTTTGTGATTGTATGTGGCCCTATTTTAAAATATTATTTTAAATTGATAAATAATAATGTAATTTATGTAGTACAATGTGATATTTTGTTATACATATACAATGTGGAGTGATTATATCAAGCTAATCAATCAAGCTAAACACATCAATCACTTCTCTTACATGGACATTTTTTGTAATGATATATTTGAAATGTACTCTCAGTTATTTTAAAATATACAATATGTTATTTTTGACTAAAGTCACCCTACTGTACAATGAGTCTCAAAACTTACTCTTCCAGTCTAGCTGAAATGCCGTACACTTTGACCAGTCACTCCCCATTCCATCACCCTCCCACCTCCATCCTCAGTCTCTAGTAACCACTATTCTACTCCTACTTCTATGAATTCAACATTTTTAGATTCCACATATAAGTGGGATCATGCAGTATTGGTCTTTCCATGCCTGGATTCTTTTATTTAGCTTAATGTCCCTGTTTTGATCTCTGCAGCCATTGTAATGTTAGAACAGTCTCGTTCATTCTATTCATTGTAAGTACTCCAAGATTCCCATCTTTGGGGGCTGCAAATAAAGCCCTATGTAACAAATAATCTGTTTCAGGAAGAATTTTCTAGCACTAAGAAATGAGACTATGGAAGCAACTATTTATTCCATCTATGCACAAGGTTTTAAGTGCTTCCAAGAAATCTAAATTTGGCCTCCTCATTTAAAAGATAAACAACTCCACTACCATCTATGTTTAAAAGCACCCATAAATCTGAATCACCATCTGGTCCTTCTTCAGTAAAAGAGCTAATTATTCAACTGCTACCTGAACATCTCTACTTTAGAAAGATGCCTCCCCCATCTACAACTCAAATGCCAAACTGAACTCATGCTTCCTCTTATTGCAAATTAGCCCAATCCTTTCTTGTGTTAGATATTCCAATTAATGATGTGCCATTAATTCTGTCACCAAACCTAGAATCTGAAAGGTGGCCTCTTCTAGGTGCCCTTTCCCCTCATAGACCGCACTATGCTGAGTCCTGTTGATTCATCCTCCCTTGACATATCTCAAGCCAGTCTTCTACTCTTCATTTTCACTTTACTTACTTTCTTTCAGAAATGCACCATCCTTCACTTTTATGTTTGCCAGTGTTCACTCCACTCCATTTACCCTTCATATTGTCACCAACTCATCTTCCTCAAATAGAAAATCTACATTATTACCATCTTAAAATCAATCGGTTGCTTGATGATTCCAAGATAAGTGGTCTATGATTTTTTTTTTTTTTTGGAGTTTTGCTCTTGTTGCCCAGGCTGGAGTACGATAGCCCTGTCTCAGCTCATTGCAACCTCCGCCTCTTGGGTTCAAGCGATTCTCCTGCCTCAACCTCCCAAGTAGCTGGAATTACAGGCACCTGCCACCATGCCCGGCTAATTTTTGTGTTTTTAGTAGAGATGGGGTTTCACCATGTTGGCCAGGCTGGTCTCGAACTCCTGACCTCAGGTGATCTGCTCGCCTTGGCCTCCCAAAGTGCTGGGATTACAGGTGTGAGCCACCTCACCAGGCAATAGTCTATGATTTTTTTGTTGTGTACACCATAAGTTAAAAATAAAGAGTAATTGCTCCTAGGAGTCTATTACTTAATTATAAATGATATATCTCTGTATTATGTATACTGTGTGTGCTATAAATCGTACACAAACAAAAATAAATAATACAAGATAACAATAAATGTGTATAGCTGTTCTCTATTTTCCTCTAGTATCCCAGTGAATTGTTCTGAACATCCCTGATGCTGGCTCACTTTCGTTTGAAGTTTATTGTTTCAGTGAATAAAATCCACTCGTTTTCTTTGGTCATTTCTTCCTTTGGCCCACTTTGAATCCTGTTCTTCCTTCTACCATAGACCTTATAATGAAGAGTTGTGATTTATAGTTTATGTGTGATAGGGATAAGATATAGGTAGGGTTAAGATTAGGTTTAAGGTTACAGGCTGAGCTTCTTGACAGCTGAATATAATACGGTCTTTGTTTTCACAAACTGAGTACTCAGCACATTACTTGGAGTATGTTTGCTAAATAAATTAATGAATTAATGTAAATAAGTGTTAACATATGAATTAGTTTAGATTGAGCTTTCTAAATATAAAATGGATTTGATTGGATTGGCCCTGGTCTGAAGTTTACTTTTGCACTTTAATACAATATACACTATAATAATTGATATTATCTTAAAAATTTCTGCTTGAAAGGATAAAAAATTATCTAGCATTTAGGAGACACCTGCTACCTAAAAATGCCCTAATTATAGGTGACTGTTATCTATTTATTTGTCAGGTCCCTTGGAATCTCGAATCAGAAATATTTTCTATACAAGCAATACATACAACCGTGTGTATTTAGAAAAGTAATAAAATGGAATTTTATTATAATTCTATGTTTTGGATTCTGGTTGTCTTCAAAGTAATATGTTTTCATTTGTTTATGCTCTTAAGTTTCTGGGAAATAGATGCTGGCAGGAATTATCATATTTTAAGAAAGATTACTGTTGTGTTTTCAACAGCTTAAATTGCTTGAGTTAGAAATATTGAAGGACTTGAAAGCACGTTTTCATGATTTCCTTCAGACACATTTCTTTTATCTGGATGCCTACTGATTAACTGCCTTCGCAGAGATAAATAAGAGCCTTCAACCCCGGTTTCAGCACTGATTCCACTGGAAGACACAAGAGGCTATGCATTTTGCAAATTTACATTAGCTGCACAGTTTCAAAAAATGTCCTCCTGAGGCAAGCTACAAAAAGTTCTCAAGATAGAGGTAAGATTTTTATCATCATACATTTATGATCGTGAATTTTTTAATTGGCTTTAGAAAGAAAAAAATGTTCATTAAGCATGAAAAGGAGGTAAGCATGGAAAAAGAAAAAACACTAACATAAATCTAAATTAATTGCTCTAATATTTTTGAAAGCAAGCCAAAATTAAACCGAGATACGAACTTTTTAATATAATTTGTTTCTCTTCCCCAAAGCAGATGTCACTGCCACTTTGGCCAGAGTTCTACAAGGAAAAATCATTATCCTTAGGGATAACCTCAGAACCAAAGGAGACTTTGCCATTTAAAAATTTCAATACCAGTTTCTACTTTCCAAGTTTCCGAGTGTGCCACACAGGATCTCTGGTTGCCGTTAGTTCTCTAAGACATTTTCCATGAAAGTAAATCATTAATAATAGCAATTAATATGTTCAGGGAGATTTTTCCTTTCCAAAGTGCTTTACAAACATTCTTTAATCCCACAAGCTAAAAGCACACTTTATTCACCTGAAGTTTACAGTAAGGTTTGGAATTTGTTCGAAGATGACATTGTTTACTGACCCCCAATGGGGGCTTGATTATCAGCATGTAAAACAGACAAAAGAGGCAAAAAAGGGGATGAGGATCACAAAAAGAGAGAAGTGAAAATAAATCATATTCAATAAAATGTGATGTGTATTACTGAGAAGCTTTTATGCATCAGACGTTGATTCAGACATAGATGACCAATACAAGATGACTATTATTAGGACCAAGCTGGAAGGCTTTGCCAAATTGAAATTTTCTATACCTATGGTTAGATAATGGAAGTGCAGGGTCTTATGAGACTTTATAGACTGGAGATATTTTATCCATATTTGGTGTGAAAAAGCATAATTGAGAAGGTAGTATTTGAAGAGTTCTGAAGGATGGACAACATTTCAGTAAGCACAGTTGGAAGCACAGAAGGCATTCTCCATAGAAAGGCAGATGTGAGCCCAGGTATGGATCAATATTCAGGAAAGTCTGTCCTGGAAAAGAATACAAGGAACCGTTTGGCTGAAAGTATTAAAGTGCTTGGGGTATGAAGTGGAGGCGATACTGAAAAACATGTGTCTGGCTAGATTGTAGTAGACTGTACTGTAGCAAAAGAAGGCAAGGCACAATTCAGTAGGTGGTGAGAGTCCTTGAATGTGTTTTAGCCCAGGAGGAAAGTGATCAGATTTTTGCATTGTTAACAGCATTCTGCTAAAAACAGAACTTTACAGCAGTGTTGAGAAATGTTGAGGTTTCATGTAAATGTAACATGTATCCTTCCTAAGGCCTGTAAAAAAAAAAAAGTCCAACGGAGGTGTAATACAAATGTATCCAATTCTGCCCCGGAGCCATGGAGAAAGCCCAGTAAGGGGTTTCATTCAAGACCCTCTGTCTATAGTGAGGGAGATGGTGGGGCTTGCTCTCTCTGGAAGCTTTTTGAATGACTGATGTTGCTGAGGCATCTAATTTAAACTTACTTGGATTTATCTGGCCTAAGGGAGTTGCTGAAATCTTTTAACTGGCAAGGTGGGAATTAACTATTAAAGAATGATAGAAAAATCAGTCAGGCGTCTTGCCTGAGAGGCACCAGGGCTTCAAGCTGGTGAAGGGAGAAGCATCAGTCATGGCTCTTAGAGTACATTCCTTAGGGCCCCTACTCCTTCCGACGGCCTAATCAGAAAGCAGTAGACTTCCTACCTTAGAGGGACTATTAGAGTGACTGCAGCCATCAATGGACTGGTGCTCTGTGCTTTGACAGATCTGATCTCAAGTCACCTTCCCACTGCCCTTTCCTTAAGATGCAGGTACTGTGTAATTGGAATAAAACAGCCCAGTCTACAAGACCTGCTCCACTTTGAGATCAGACCATATCTCTGAAAGGGCTTTTGGGAAATTCTGGAACTGCCCCATCCATTAGCTGTCTATGACTTTACATGCTTGGCTGATTCAAATCTCCTCTTCAAGTACCACCCCCATGTCTGCTGTCGACTCTCATTGAATTGGCTTTTCTGTCCAAGCATTTCAGTAATGATTCTAACTCTGGTGCTTTCTAACTTAGCCTTTTTTCCTCAATAAAAGAACCCAACTTTCCCACTAAGTGCTGCTAGAGAGATTTCGATTCAGTAAGCAAATGTGGGTCCAGATTTCTACATTTTTGACAAATGCTTTACCTTATCATGATGCAGCTATTCACAAAACAACTGCCCTAGACTGCAAATCACATATAGATAAGTATCAGGCCTGTTTTTTTTAATTTTAATTTTTATTTTTTTGCCACCATGATCCAATGTCTAACACAGTGCTTCTTACAAAGAAGAGACTCAGTATATGTTTACTGAGACCCTGAATGAGTGGGGGAATGAACACACCGGCTGCAGAGCTCTCTGCCACTTCTCAGATCTTACATATTAGAGATCCTAGCCTGAAACTAATTGAAGTTTCAGACCTATCTGTGTATATCTAGTAAAATGAATGGATAGACATTTAGAATTTGGTTGGCTTAGGATGCTTTTGTCAATGTGAGAAGAGAGCGATGGTCAATTCTTGCCTAAAAGGAAGAAACAGTAAAGGGCAAGGGGCAGTGAACCAGGCCTGTGGTCAGCGGGGTCTGAAAGAGAAGGCGAAAGTGCTGTTTGTATAATGGGCATAAGCAAAAGGTGAGAAAGAGGAAAGAAACCCTTAGTTTTCTGCAGTAGTTAGCGTGACTCCATAAGAGGAAAACTGCAGCGAACGTAGGTTACTTCAGCATCACGCAATTAAAAGTTGGAAACATCAGAGATTAGCAACTTGGGAATGAACATAAATGAGATAATAGATAACAACAGTAGTAGTGGTAGCAATGAGATACAAAATGGCCAAGCAAAGTTAGGCAATGATATCAGGCAAGAGTAACATAATAGAGGATTCCCCCAGGAGACCCTTAAGGCAATTCATTGGGGATTTTTGGTGGACTTCAGTTAATCAAATAGGGGTCATGTCATTAACCTGAGTTAATCAAATAGGGGTCATGTCATGATTTATGTGTTTTATTGTACAGCATCATTAGCATTCGTAGCAGGTGTGGCCTGGTAATATGTGGGTTATGTATGTAGTCATTGGAGAACAACTATCTCTCTCACTTTCCTTGACTTCTTCAACTATTGCCGTTTCAATCTCCACTCAGTAGCTCATGAGCTTAGTTTAAGTAGTAAATGTGCAAAAATCCCTACGTATCTTATATATACATACTCATTTTCCCACATATACCCCTAAGTCTTCAAGATTTAGGGAGAGGTCTACAGTTCTATGTCAGGCTCCCCCCAACAGTCTTCAGGACTGTAAAAATTCCTTCAGTCAATCTGCTCATTTGTTTCTATGCTATAAATAGTTTTCTGCAAACCACAGTGTTTTGTTAATCTCCTGGGTAGGAGGGAATAAAAATCATAGCATTGTGACGTTTTGAGGCATAAAAACAAAAGAAATTTTACTAATCAGTCTCAGTGCTACAGTCTCTATGGGTACTTATTTTTCTCAATTCAGGTTTTAGAGTAGGCACATAGCTAGGAATCGTATTATTACTTAACATTACTACCACTTGCAGTTGTCTTCAGAAACAGCTTGTTTGATTGCCTCCTTTTCGCCCTGTTAGAGAGAGGGCTGTCCACCTGACTCCCAACACTGATGAGATCGAGAATAGTTTATTAGTCTTTTAAACTCATAGCCCAGGAAAGCTGGACACCATATGCCATACAAGGCCACACACAGGGAGTTACACTCAGGAACACAGAGAACAATCAGGGGCTGTGGGAGGCAAACTTTATAGTAACAAGGGGATGAGATGACCCCTGCTTCCCATGAGAGGATGTGAGTGACTTATTTGAATCATTCTGCAGTGAAAAACCCACTACTCAGTGATAAGCAGCCACTGTACATGGTCTATACATGATCTATGTTGATAAAGAGACTACACATCGTCTCTGTGATAAAGAAAGTTGATTGGTTAGGGAACCTTATCTGCAGGAATAGAGTTAAGGAGAAGAGCTTGCAGTTAGGCCATTTGAGAGACTCTTAGTTTCAGATGTCAAGGCAGCATGTAACATCGAAACTTTATTTCAGGCCTTGCGCCATACAGTTGACATTTAACGAATGCTTACTCTGTTACATGCTGGTAAAGAGCTACAAAGAGATTTCTCATTTTGTCTCTACATTTTTCCCCACAGCAACACTATACCTATGAGAAAGTGCTATGAATTCTCTCCTTTTTCACACATGTGGCAATGGTATTTAAGCTCCCACAGTTAGGGATAGAGCCAAGATTGGAGGCCCTTCTGAATGCTATGTGCATTGCCTTCTATTAATATCAATAATTGTGCCAAGTTCATTAGGGCTTTTAAATACAAATTTAATTTTAGGATCCTTGAATTTTAGAAGTATAATGGGTCACAGAGATCTCAGTTTACCCTGGGAAAATTAAATACATACATCTTTTGAAATGGAAAATTAGGACAAGATGTAGAATAAAGCCATCATAGACCAAAATTGAGCTAATGTTAATTAAATGCATGTATTTTTTAAGGACCTAGGGAGTAGTGATATTGCCAACATGAAAATCACATGAACTGTCAAGAAGATGTCCTACAAGGCAATTAAGATGCACCTAGATGGTACACTTTAAGATTTACGTAGCTCAAGCTTTGCTGACCTCAACCATCTATGGTATCAATGCAGTCACATTAATATGAATAACCCATGTTTACGTATCTCTTGTTCCCATTTATTTAGTCATCTGTAAAAACAATTTCCCCAAATACTCATGATATTACTCAGGGGATGTCTCAAGTGTTTTCATGAACAAATCTTCTTTGTCAGAGTAGTTTATTGAGCACTACTTCCCCTGCCATTTAGTCCCGGGTTTCCTGCATTCACCTACAAGGGACTAACCTTCTGTCAGAACCTAAGTCACTCCTTGCTGAGCACTTCCTCATTTCTGCTGCTTCTCCAAGCAGAACACCAGTGATTCTCTAGTCCAAAGTGTTCCCTAGCTGCTATGCGAGGTGTGCGAATAGGGGAAGAAAACGACCCTATTTTTTTAGATTTTATTCATTTGGGATGATTCTAGATTGGTACCATTTCTTTAAGTTTGTCATGAAGTGAATCTAATGGCTGGTTTCTGTTGTTTCTGTTTCTTGTCCTTTCTTAAGAGGGTAGGTGCTTCTTTTATGTTTTCTTTATAATCAAAAGTCAAAAGAAATGACTCCTTCTAAATTCAGGTTTCCACCAGGGTCTCCTAGCCTCACTACTTAAAAAAAACGAGGTATAATTTTCATAAAGTAAAATCCACTTTTTGGTGCAAGGTTCTGGGAGCTCTGACAAGTACATACAGTCATGTAGCCGACATCATGATCAAGGTATAGAACAAGTTCATCATCTTCAAAAATTCCCTTGTTCTCCCCTCATTCATCTTCAGCCTCTGGCAGTTACTAATCTGTGTTCTGTCGGTATATTCTTTCTTTCTTTGAATGTCATATAAATATGCATTCTGGTCAAAAATATATATATTTGTTTTTATTTGTGACAAAGTTGAATATGGTCCCCATTTGTCTGGGACTATTTCAGTTTATGCATAATTATCAATAAAAACCACTTTTATTCTCAGGTGTTTTTCAATCTGGATAATAAATTAGAGGATTCTGCTATTTATTGTAGTATGCAGACACACACACACACACACACACACACACACACACACACACACATCTCCATGGAGGATGGGTTTGAGGCCACATGTCAGAAAAAAAATAAATCGCCACCCTTTTCTCAACTATTTCCCTAATCCCTTCATCTTCACACAAAAAAGAAGAATAAACACAGACAACTCAGCAAATTGGAATCTTTAACTTTTGAATACAGTTATTTTTCCCAACTTGATTTTCAAGTGCACGACCCGGTAACACTGGCTATCCAGATATTTAGCAAATAATCCAGATAAGATACATATACATAAATGCATCACATTTCATAACTTAAAAATTGCTGCTATAATATGCTAATTTTCCTAATATATGAATATATAAAGAGCTTGTCACTGGAAGTGTCCGTACATAGGCAGGTCAACCACTTGTCACGCAGGACTATAAAAGAGATAATTCAGGACTCAAAATGGACACAAAGAGCATTGGACTTCCTGCTATCTGAGATACATTCCAGCCTAAGACAGTGGAGCACCATTGTTTAAAAGAATGCAAACTTTTGATTACGATAACCCTACATACCAATTCTAGATTTGCCACTTCTTTCCTCAGCTTATGTTTTCTGATGTGTCAAATGGGAGTAACACTTAATATAGTTGTTAAAATTAAATAGAACAGTGTAATTTGTTAGCATAGTGTCCAGCATGTACTAAGAGTTCAAAAAAGGTATTTATTATTAAATTAAACCAGAGGTTTTTAATTAGTTGCTTTTTAGAGTTTATTAGCGCTTAGGGTAACATAAGCCAAAATGGTCAGTTGAATCAGGCTTGATGAAACATAGCAATTAAATTTGTATTTTGTCTAATAGAAGGTAGCTATTTTAAGTTTCCCCTTCCTCTTAGAAGCATGCAAGGTGAAGCATAAAATCACACTGGTTGTCCACTGTGGCAGACACTGCTAGAGCTCAACACAAGGAGCTTCTCCAATATTTTGGGGGCCCAGGCCAAGGGTACCCGTGGATGGCCGCCTACAACACATCTCAGTGTTTAAGAATAGTGAATCAAGCTGGTAACCTGCTAAATGAAATATATTCCAGCTTTCCACATTGTCCAATACATTCATAGCAACATGGAAAAACACATTTAAATTTAGATTGCTTAGGCTCCTTGGAGTTCATACTAGAAAATGGCAGCAGGGGAAGACCTGAGTCCAGGCCCCTACTCCTCTAGTGTGGCCTTTCTCTTCTCACTCCACTTCCAGCTCCATCTTGCGCTATGAATTACATCATGCACATCCAGCCTGCTCAAGCAAGTTTTGTGCCAATTATTCACAAACATCCAGCCTTTGGACACCTTTGGGACTGAGCAATTCATATACAGGAGGTACCTTCGACCTTTTTGGAAGATGAACCTATGGACGAGCACCAAGCTGCACCTGGAAATAATCACAATAGCATTTTTTTTTTTTTTTTTTTCCAGTAAATTTCAGTATCCAAGGCATCCCTGGACTTTAACCTTATATTCTCATTTCTTGTTGGGGATGGTATATCTGAAAGAAAGACTGAAAGTATCTGTCTAAAAGAATAGGCCCACAGCAGGGGCTTCTCTCACTCAGGGTCTGAGGGCGGCACTCCTCTTTTTTACTTTCTGAGTGAGTGTCTGCATAGGTTTTATACCGTAACCTCCAGGCAAGCTTAGGTGCTTCTATGTTACAGAGTACTGAGCCATGGAATGTGGGAAGAAGTGAAGCATGCCATCTTAGACCCTGGCTTTAAAAGTTGTCAGGAGATCCTTTCATTCTCTTTCATCATTCATCAGATGGCCAGATGCAGAGGATCCCGCAAAACACTCTGGGGTGTAAGGAATGGCACTGGGGTCTAAGGAATGGCAGGAATCATTTGATAGAAAAAGCCCAAGTTATTCAGTATCTGTGTGAAACCAAACTCCTTCCTATGCCCAATCTAAATAGGATTCTAATAGATAAGAATAAAGAGATTTTTATTTTAAACCATTGTAGAGAGTGTCTCTGTGTGTGTGTGTGTGTGTGTGTGTGTGTGTGTGTGTGTGTGTATTTATGTGTTAGCAATTAGCATACTCTGCCCACATCATTCACTAACCTTGAGATTTACCCTGGATACATTTCTTGCTTCCATGCTCCTATCTGCTTCTAATTCTGTATCCCATAAATAAATAAATAAATAAATAAATAAATAAATAAATAAATACATACATAAATACATAAATAAATACATAAGACTTTCAGAATGAATGAACAGATGAATGGGTGAATGAATGAATAAACAGAGGAAAGATGAAATTAATTAATTAACATTAAATAAGTCTCCGGATATTCTTCCAGATAGACTAATGCCACATTCAAGCATATATTGCTTGACATAAGAAATTAACTATTGAGTCTTATGCCTAAAATATTACTTCCTATGCGCTTCTTGTTTTTCAGACTATTAGTTCACAATCATGACACAATTTGTCATACGGGTACTTATTGCTTTGTCTCTAACTCCCTGCTTTCCAGCACCTACTTTTCAGATAATTGTCCTGATTATTTTTCTTTATTTTTCTTCTTCGCCTTAGCCACATAATTGAAATGGGAATTGTCATCATTTTTCAGCTTAACTTTCACTCCTGGACACAATTTATAGACAATCGAAAGACAATAGACACTCCAGAATAGATTAATCACAAGTCTTTCCTGGAAATTTAAAATTGAGAAAACATAAGAGTGTCAGTCTGGCTGAGCGCTAAAGTTATAAGCCTACTTATCTTTGTCTGGGCCACTATAACAAAATACTATAAACTGGGTGACTTTAAATAGCCAAAGTTTATTTCTCACAATTATGGAGTGTAGGAAGTCTAAGATTAATTTGTGTCTAATGAGGGGCCCTTTCTCCTTCCCAGATGGCACTTTCTGTGTCCTCACATGGTGGTAGGGTCAAGGCAGTTCTCTGGGCACTTTTCTGTAGGAACACTAATCCAAGTCTTCAGAGCTATGCCCTTGAGACCTAATCACTTGTCAAAGGCCCCCGCCTCCTAATAGTATCACCTTGGGAGTTAGAATTTTTATTTTTCTTTTTCTTTTTGAGATGGATTTTTGTTCTTGTCACCTAGGCTAGAGTACAACGGCACGATCTTGGCTCACTGCAGCCTCTGCCTCCCGGGTTCAAGTGATTCTCCTGCCTCAGCCTCCTGAGTAGCTGGGATTATAGGCACCTGCCACCACACCCAGCTAATTTCTGTATTTTTTGTAGAGATGGGGTTTCGTCATGTTGGCCAGGCTGGTCTCGAACTCCTGACCTCAGCTGATCCGCCCACCTCAGCCTCCCAAAGTGGTAGGATTATAGGCGTGAGCCACCGTGCCTGACCTAGAATTTCAAAATAAGAATTTTGGAGGGCCATAAACATTCACACCATAACTCTATTTTGGCTGGTAGTCACGCCCCATCATGAAGAAAGGGAAAAAGTAACCTGGTAAGACAAAGAAAAATTAAAGCAACAACAGATGTGCAAAGACAAAGACAGATGAGAGATTAAGAAGAGGTCTTCCTTGGCTTCCTATCATTTCAGAGTCCTTGGCATCAGCCTATTCTGGATGTTCATTTTTATCCTTCTCCTATCTGAGGTTTGTGAAAACAACTTGTACTTTTATGGAAGAGCACTCTTTTGAATAACCTAAATGCATACATTTTATGTTACCAGCAACCAAAATAGGCCTATAGGCAAGAGTACATGACATCTGAAGGGGTGATACCCCACATTCCTTATCCTGGACCTTTTCTATGCCAATTTTGGTCCCAAACCTTCATGTCACCTTGAAACTATTCAAAGCACTCAGCCCCTTTTGTCAGAGACAAGAAAGGCAGAGCACTCTGTTTGAAGTTATACTGCTTTTACCATTAAAAAAAATACATCTACTAAAGATTTTTTTTTCCAACAGAGCAACACAATAAAAGAGTAAGTGGCTTTGTAGTAAAAAATAATATAAAAAGATAATTAAATCTCAGGGGTATTTTTTGGTCTAATGCAGTTTTTCCTCAGAAAAAAAAAAAAAAAAAAAAAACAAGCATCAAGGCTGCCCCTAAAGGCACTTTTTGACTCACCGTTGCCACTAACATGAAGTTGAGTGTGAAAAATCTCTGCTTGATTTGTTCTTTCTTTTCAAGAAAAAAGAGGCTTAATATTCATTGCAGAGGGTGAGTAGAAAAAAAAATCTGTGCTGTTATTTTTGAGGGGTTGAAATGCTTGTTCTCACCACTGAAGGTGTTCATCTTTACAAAAAATGGTTGCTAGGGAGCTAGCCAATTTGAGGGAATATTTTTGAATGTTTATAAAACTAAAGAGCGGCATCATTGGCAATACATTTATTGGCAGAACTGAACCAATTAGTCAGTGCTGCTAAAGTGACTGCATACAGCTGATTTCACAGAAAGGGCAAATATATAATGATGCATGCTACTGGAGTACTTTTTTTTAAAACTACAGATTTAAGTCTCAGATAAAGGCAATAACACTCCTTCTACTTCAGGAAATTTTGAGTGTTCAAATATGTGGTTATAAAAACACATAAGAGAGCATTTTTAGGCCATTCTGACACATTCCACACTCATTCTTAAATAAAATAAATCACATGATCAGCTCTCCTTGAGGCTGGAGATTGGTTTTTGTAATAAGGAAAGGCCTAGCAATGTCTCCTCATTTCATTCATTCCAACTATGCAATTCAACTACAATTCTCGTTTTAATTTCCTTTCATGTATTTCTATCTGTAATTTTTAAAGACAACTATGATTTATATTTATAAGGATAATGAGAATAAAAAAGGAGAGCAATACCCTTTTAGACAAAGACAATCCAACAAACAAGCAAAACAAAACCAACAAAAACTTTTCGTGATGTGCAAATATAAGGTTCACTAAGTCCTGCTGGTTGTCACTTTTGATTGTCTCTCCTCTCATTTCATGTATATCCTCTGCTCCCCTCATGAGTGGAGAAAAAAAATGTGTGATTAGTGAATGTCAGCAGTTGGACTCTCTGAGATTCAGACTGAGGAGTTTAGAGTGTAGGAGGTTTTGTAGAGCACGGTCTTGGGATTCATATCTGCAGAAGAGAAAAGAAAGAAGCAGGGTTGGACAGAGGGAGAACTTGGGCTGCCAGGAAGTCTTAATGGAGGTCATAAGTAACTCTACAAAAGACTTGGAAGAATGCATGACGCTTCTGAGTTCTGAGTGGAGCAAAGGTGCCGGACTTTAATGCTGCCCTATAAACTAGTCACGGATGCTGGCAACTCAGGAAGGGGAACCCAATCTTGAGCAAGGTGGCTCTCTTCAATAGAGGCATTTTCTGAAATGGGACAGTAGGGCATAGCACTTTGTCCACTGCATTCTCAGCAGCTGAGGGAAGAAGTTCATCATTCCTGAATAAGGATCCAGATACCACATCACAGCATCTTTCACACTAACAATGAATAATTGTTTTTTATTTAAAAACAATGAATTGCATGAGGCAGTATAGGTAGCTATTAGTGTATTATTTACCTATAACCTGTTGACTGCCTAATACTGGAACAGAGCTAATGGGAAAAAATGCCCAACTTGTACAGAACATTTTGTTCAAGAGGGAAATTGAATCCATGCAACACTACTAACTTAAAGGCAGGCAGAACATTATAAACTGGTAACTGGGGAAAAGAAAATTAGTACCACAAACTCATAGAGAAGATGCTAATGAATATTAAGGGAATCAACAGGGATAAAGGGCCTGGATATAGGTTGTATCTTTGAGAGCAGTGTTAGGTAAAACAGGCAAGTGGGAATAAGATGGTTGTTGCCGAAGACAGAAGCTTGTGCATGCTATGGATAAAACAGGCAGAAGAGTGTTTCCCCTAAAGCAGAGGGAGGCAAGTTTGAATAGATTAAGAGGCATAAAATGTCAGAATGAATTGGATGCCAGATTGAAGAGACTGAATGCCACTGAAAATGAAATACAAAACTAAATATCTCAGTATGGAAGTCATACAATAAAAGGGGAGCTTTCAAATATTAACACGGTGGGGGGATATAAGATATTTTTTAGAAGATAAGACTGTAAATCACCATCTTCTTGGTTAGTTTGCCAGAATGGGAAAGGTAAAATTTCTGAAGTTCCCATGACACACACACACAAAATGAGAACTGAAAGATACACTGTAACATAACCTGTCCAAAGTCACGATGCAAAGAAATGATTGAGCTGGCAATCAAACCCATAGCTGTCTTCAAAGTCCCTTTTCTGCCACCATTCCACGCTGCCAGAATGTTAGAAAACCTGCCTGCAAGCTGCTTTTCCTACCCAGGATTGTTCTGAAAGTAAGAAAATCAAAACACTGGCATTGATTTGGAGTACAATATAGGTTTCACATCTTGACACTATTTGGGAAATTAAATGGGATCTGTCACCATTTTATGATTAGCATAAGACAGAGCCCCATTTTGCATCTAAGAACACTTTCTGAGACAAATTGCTATGTCTTTAAATAATGGATTCAATAAACATTTAACAACTGCCTATTCTGTGCCAGGGAGTAGTCCTGGTGTGGTGGACAAAGCAGAAAATAAGACAAAGTCCTTTTGTCATGAAATTTATATTTTACTAGACAGAAACAAGTAATAAATATAAGAAGAAATAAAAATTTAAATATATTAATATGATAATTTCAGAAAAGTAAATATTTTAGGAAGAAAAGCACAGGATAATTTTATGGATAGTTATTGATAAATGATAGGAAATGTGTTCATTGGTTTTGTTTTTGTTTTTAATGTTCCACCACTTAACTAGCTGCACACTCTTGGTTAATCGGTCTGTGACTCAGTTTTCTCACCTATCTTAGAGATCTGATGCTGTGATTAAAAGATTAAATACACAAAACGTGCTTTCACCAGTGAATAGAATAAGAGTTCAATAAATGTCAATGCATTATTAAATGTTATTCATATTTCTGAGAATGAGAACTTCACGTTTCCCATCTCTTCTTTCCTGTGCAGAAGTAAGAAGTCCCAACTGCACAGAATGCTTCCTGAACGTAAAATTTCCTGTTTCAGATTATTTATGCCCCATAACCTTGATATGATTTGTCCTCCCCTCACTCAATAACCACTTATTAAATGGCCACAGCTTGCTAGACATTGGCTTTCTTAAGGTGAATTTAATTCAGAAATTACTAAATTCAATTCTGTGGGTTTGTTTTGTTTCTCCATAATCCCTTACACTGGTTTATCAGCCTGCCAGAGAAGCAGAAAGATAGCCTCCAGGGCTATGTCAGCCAGGCCCAGCCCAGACATCAAAGAATATTATGAATGTGTAAAATTGCCTTTGGCAAAGACTATTTACAGACCCTCTGGCACAGTTATGCTGAAATGATAAGAAATGTCACTGCAGCCTACTGCATTGAATAATAAACATTTCCTGCCTTTAATATCAACTACCCACTTATCCGGAACCCAGAATGGCTCGCAATTACAATCAAGGAAAAAAGGAAAGGTTAGGTGTTTTTTTTTTTGTTTTTGCTTTTGCTTTTTATTAATATGCCGCAATGCTTACTATTAATTAAATCAGCAGTATAGCCAGGAGTGGAACTTAGTGAGATTATCTATATTATGCACTCGAAATATAGTTTATCCATTTTAATTAAATGAGTTCTAAATATAACCATTTTTAATTCTTCTACACCCTACAACTAATTAAAAATAAAATTAGTTAACATTTCTATGTGACATCATTAAAAAATTGTTCATATAAAGATGCAAATATCCCTATAGTATCCTGTGTATTTACTTGCATCCCTCTATGCTGTTGATGACAAGAGTATTAAAGCTTTGCATGAATACAAACCTGTGGGCAAGGCTTTTTTTTTTTTTTTTTTTTTTTTTCTCAAATTTCTCCCCATGTCTAGTCATCTGCCTTCTGCTTGTCTCATCTTGGCATGTTCTGGATACTGGTTATAGCTTTGGGAAGCCTATTAAATTTCACCTCCTTGGATGTTCTGTTTCAGAGAAACTTCATGTTAGGCTGACATGAACACATCCACATCTACTCTTTATTTCTTTTTATTTCTTTATGTAGCATATTAGGGCCTTCTTAGTGTGCTAAGAGGTCTCAGTCGTAAGAAAATACCATTGTACAAAGTGACTAAAGAAACCACCATGAGAACTAGAAATGAGGTAGAAAAACCTGAACAAATTGCTGGAGGCTCAGTGTGGACAAGTCAGAGAGTTAAAAACTCCATAGGGACTCAGTCTTAGCAGCCCTCCAGACTTTTGTAAATTTTACCCTCTGGAGCTTGACCAGGTTCTCATAGCAAATATCAGAAGAAAATCTCCACGTGCTTCTGGCAGCTGGAGAGGAAAGGACACATTTTGAAATACGCCAGAGCACTCTTTTCTTCTTAACAAGGCTGGCTCTCAGGACAAACTATTTAACCAAAGCCTATCATGCCAGGATTTTATCAGAGCCTAACTGACCAGAGGAAAACGAATACCCAACTCTAGTCCACTCTCATCATGTTGTCCCACCTAAGAGGTTGGGAGGACTGAGAAATACTTGTGAATTTCACAGTCCAGAGGCATAGGTTCACTAAGACCTAGTCATAGGACTTCAGAACTCTTCCCTTCCCTCAACACCTTGCAACCACATGACTAAATGCCTATTTACAGCAGTTCTTTTTACCCAGTACATCCTGTCAAGCTATTAAGGAAAATTACAAGACATATTGAAAGGTATACCTTGGAACAAACAGAGAAAGCATTAGAAGCAGACATGACAGGAATGTTGGAATATCAGACTAGGAATTAAAGCAACAATGATTAATATGCTAAGGGCCTAATATGTAAAGGAGACAACATGCAGGAACAGAGAGGTATTGTGAGCAGAGAGATGGAAATACTAAGAAAGGACCAAAAATAAATGCCAGACAAAAACACTAACAAAACGAAAAATGTCTTTGATGAGCTTGTTAGTAAACTGGACATGGCTGAGAAAATAATATTTGAGCTTGAGATTACATCAATAGAAATTTCCCAAACTGATTTCATTCAATGGTGTTTTGTAGTTAGCAGTGTACAGATCTTACAAATATTTTACCAGATTTATAAATAACTTTTATATTTTTTGGTATTGTAAATGGCACTACTTTTTAAAAATTTAAGTTTCCAATTGTTTTATTGCTGATAACTAAAAAACAAATTGATCTTAAATTTTGTGACCTTGCTAAAATATCCTATGAGTTGTAGTAGTATTGGTTTTTAGATTTGGGGGGATTTTTTTTCTTCATCTTTTATTTTAAGTTCAGGGGTACATGTGAAGGACATGCAGGTTTCTTACATAGATAAATGTGTGCCATGATGGTTTGCTGCACAGATCATCCCATCACCTAGGTATTAAGCCCAGCATCTGTTAGCTAATCTTCCTGATGCCTTCCCTTCCACCATCCCACCTCTGACAAGTCTTAGTGTGTGTTGTTCTCCCTAGTGTGTCCATGTGTTCTCATCATTCAGCTCCCACTTACAAGTGAGAACATGCGGTGTTTGGATTTCTGCTCTTGCATCAGTTTGCTGAGGATAATGGCTTCTAACTCCACCTGTGTCCCTGCAAAGGACATGATCTCATTCATTTTTATGGCTGCATACTATTCCATGGTGTATATGTACCACATTTTCTTTATCCAGTCTATCATTGAAGGACATTTAGGTTGATTCCATGTCTTTGCTATTGTGAATAGTATAGCAATGAACATACACGTGCATGAATCTTTATAATAATGAGACAAGAGGGACAGCATTAGGAGATATACCTACTGTAAATGACGAGTGAATGGGTGCACCACACCAACATGGCACATATATACATATGTAACAAACCTGCACGTTGTGCACATGTATCCTAAAACTTAAAGTATAATAAAAATAAATAAATAAATAAATAACGAGACAAGACTGAAAACAAATGAATTAGAATATCCAGGAACTGCAGGACAACTACAGAAGGTGTAACACATTCACAACGAGATACAAGAAGGATAAGAAAAAGAAAGAGAAAAAGTATTTCAAACGCTATAACTGAGAATTGCCTCAAATTAATGTCAGACACAAAATCATAGGTGGAGGAAACTCAGACAACATCAAGCAGGACAAATGCCAAAAAAACTGTAGCTAGGTTCAGTATTTTCAAACATAGAAAATTGGAGATAAAACAAATAATTCAATTAAAAAAAGGGCAAAGGATTTGAATAGACAGTTCTCAAAGGTAGACATCCAAATGGCCAATAGGTATATGAAACAATGCTCAATGTCACAAATCATCAAGGAAATAGAAATTAAAACTACAATGAGATATTACCATATACGTGTTAGAATGGCTATTAGCAAAACAATGAAAGATAAGTGTTGGCAAGGCTGTGGAGAAAAGGGAATTTTCTGCACTGTTCATTGGTGAGGACGTAAATTAGTAAAGCCAATGTAGAAAACTGTATGGAAGCTTCTCAAAATATTACAAATGGAACTACTGTATGATACAGCAATCCCACATCTGGGCATATATCCAAAGGAAATAAAATCAGTACGTTGAAGAGATTTCTACACTTTTATGTTCATTGTAGCATTATTCACAATAGGCAAGATATTGAATTAACCTAAGTGTTAAATGTCCATTGACAAATAAATAAAAAATAATTAGTGCACATACACATACACACACACACACACACACACAAACACACACACACACACAATGGTACACAATGGGTTGCTATTCAGACTTATAAAAGAAGGAAATTCTGTCATTGTGACAACATGCATAAACCTAGAGAACATGATGCTTATTGAGATAAGCCAGGCAA
Source organism: Homo sapiens (assembly GCF_000001405.40). Taxonomy (NCBI): domain Eukaryota; kingdom Metazoa; phylum Chordata; class Mammalia; order Primates; family Hominidae; genus Homo; species Homo sapiens. The sequence goes on from NC_000011.10 coordinate 42,025,624, forward strand.
GAAATACAAATACTGCATTTACTTATATATGAAATCTACAAATGTTGAATTTACAGAAACAGAGAGTAGAGTGATAGTTGCCAAAGGCCGGGGGTTGGGGAAGTGGTTGGAGAGATGCCAGTTAAAGGGTACAAAGTTTCAGGAAAACAGGATGAATAATCTCTGGAGATCTAGTGTACAGCAGGGTGACTATAGTTGAGCTTGTGTTTTATATTACTAAGTATAAACTTGCTAAAATATTAAAATTTAAATGTCCTCACCACACAAAAAAGATAAGTATGCGTATTAGTCCATTCTCATGCTGCTATAAAGAACTGCCTGAGATTGTGTAATTTATAAAGGAAAGAGGTGTAATTGACTCACAGTTCTGCATGGATGTGGAGACCTCAGGAAACTTACAATCATGTCCTTTTTCACATGGCAGCAATAAAGAGAAGTGCTGAGAAAAAAGGAGAAGATACCCTTATAAAAACATCAGATCTCATGAGAACTCACTCACTATTATGAAAACAGCATGAGGGTAACTGCATCTATGAATAAATTACTTCCCATCAGGTCCCTCCCATGACACATGGGGATTATGGGAATGACAATTCAAGGTGAGATTTGGGGGGGGGACATGGAGCCAACTATATCATTCTGCCCCTGGCCCCTCCCAAATCTCATGTCCTTCTCACATTTCATAACACAATCATGCCCTTCCAACAGTCCCCTAAAGTCTTAACTCAGTCTACCATTAACCCAAAAGTCCAAAGTCCAAAGTCTCATCTGAGACAAGGTAAGTCCCTTCTGCCTATGAGCCTGTAAAATCAAAAGCAAGCTAGTTACCTTCTAGATACAAGGGGTACAGGCATTGGGTAAATACACCCATTCCAAATGGGAGAAATTGGCCAAAATAAAGGGGCTACAGGCCCCAGGCAAGTCTGAAATACAATAGGATAGTCATTAAACCTTAAAGTTCCAAAATGATCTCTTTTGACTCCATGTCTCACATCTGGGGCATGCTGATGCAAGAAGTGGGCTCCAGTGGCCTTGAGCAGCTCTGCCCCTGTGGATTTTCAGGTATAGCCCCCCTCCCAGTTGCTTTTATGGGCTAGTGTTGAGTATCTGCAGCTTTTCCAGAAACATGGTGCAAGCTGTCAGTGGATCTACCATTCTGGGGTCTGGAGGACAGTGGCCCTCTTCTCACAGCTCCACTAGGCAGTGCCCCAATGAGGACTCTGTGTGGGAGCTCCAACCCCACATTTCCCTTCTGCATTGCCCTGGCAGACATTCTCCATGAGGGCTTCACTACAGCAGCACACCTCTGCCTGGGAATCTAGGTATTTCCGTAACATCCTACGAAATCTAGGCAGAGGTTCCCAAACCTTAATTCTTGACTTCTGTGCACCCACAGGCCCAACACCATGTGTAAGCTGCCAAAGCTTGGAGCTTGCAACCTCTAAAGCAATGGCCTGAGCTGTACGTTGGCCTCTTAGCCACAACTGGGACACAGGGTACCAAGTCCCAAGACTGTGCAAAGCAGCAAGGCCCTGGGCATGGCCTGCAAAACTATTTTATCTTCTTAGGCCTCTGGGCCTGTGATAGGAGGGGCTGCCGTAAAGACCTCTGACATGCCCTGGAGATATTTTTCCCATTGTCTTGGCAATTAACATTTGGCTCCTCATTACTTATGCAAATTTCTGCAGCTGGCTTTAACTTCTACTGGCTGCAAACTTTGTGAATTTTTATGCTGATTCTCTTTTAAACATAAGTTCCAATTCCAAATCATATCTTTGTGAATACATAAAACTGAATGTTTTTAACAGCACCTGAGTCATCTCTTGAATGCTTTACTGCTTAGAATTTTTTTCCACTAGATACTCTAAATCATCTCTCAATTTCAAAGTTCCACAAATCTCCAGGCCAGAGGCAAAATGCTGCCAGTCACTTTGATGTAACATAGCAAGAGTCACCTTTATTACAGTTCCCAACAAGTTCCTCATCTCTATTGGAGACCACCTCAGCCTGGACTTCATTGTCCATATCACTATTAGCTTTTTGGTCAAAGCCATTCAAGTCTCTAGAAAGTTCCAAACTTTCCCACATTTTTTTGTCTTCTTCTAAGCCCTCCAAACTGTTTCAACCTCTGCCCGTTACCCAGTCCCAAAGTCACTTCCACGTTTTCAAGTATCTTTACAGCAGCACCACACTACCTGGTACCAATTTATTGTGTTAGTCTGTTCTCACACTACTATAAATAACTGTCCAAGACTGGGTAATTTATAAAGGAAAGAGGTTTAATTGACTTACAGTTCGACATAGCTGAGGAGGCCTTAGAAAACTTACAATCATGGCAGAAGGGGAAGAAAATACACTCTTCTTCACATAGCAGCAGGAAGGAGAAGTGCTGAGCAAAAGGGGGGAAAGTCCCTTATAAAACCATCAGATCTTGTGAGAACTCATCCACTATCACAGGAACAACATGAGGATAACCAGCCCCATTATTAAATTACCTCCCACTGCGTCCCTCCCATGACACTTGGGGATTATAGGAACCCAGTTCAAGGTGAGATCTGCATGGGGACACAGAGCGAAACCATATCAGTAAGTGATGTTATGGATATGTTAACTAGATCGATTTAACAATTTCATCATGTATTCATGTATCAAAACATCATGTTGTACATTATACATACATACACTATTTATTATATGTTAATAAAGCTGAGGTGATTGAGAAAAAGAGAGATAAAAGAAGGTTTAAAAATAGAAAATAATATTTAAAAAAAAATTCTGAAAGAAGGTAGAGGAAAACATATCCATAGAGGACAAAGATAAAAATTACATTTGATGTCACCTGAGAAACCATGCAAACACAGAGTGGAGTGAAATATTTAAAATCTTGTGAGGAAAAAATAACACCAAGTAGAATTCTGTACCCTGAGAAATTATCCTTCAACATGAAGAAGAAATACTTTCTAGAACAAATAACAATTGAGAGAATTTGTTGTCAGTTTGTTTATAAAGAAGGAAAATAATATAGGTCAGAAACATGAGTCTTCCTAGAGAAAGGAAGAGCATCAAAGATAGAAAAAGTGAAAGTAAAATAAACATTTTTATTTTCTTGTTCTAATAATATGTATGCACTGAAAATAAAATTTTCAAATTATATGAGGCAAAAACTGGTAGAACTGCAAGAAGAAATAGATGAATTTGTTATTATTGTTTGAGACTTTAATAGCTCTCTAAAAGAAGTGGATGTATCCAGCAGACAGAGAATCAGTAAGAACATATTAGAGCTCAACAGCACCATACTGAATATAATTAATATCTACAGAGTATTTTGTCAGATGAAATACATAGAACATACATTCTTCTTAAGCTTACATGGAACATTCATCAAGATACACCATATTCTGTGATATAAAACACAACTTAACAAATCTAAAGAAATAAAAATCATACCAGGTCTGCTTTCACATCACAGTGGAATTAAGTTAGAAATCATTAAATGAAAAATAGCTGGAAAATTTCAAAATATTTGAATATTAAACAATTACCTCTAAATAAAATATAGGTCAAAGAACAAATATTAAGAACAATGAAAATATTTGGAACTAAATGGGAATGAAAATACAACTTACCAAAATATGTGGAATGCAGTAAATGGAGCACTTAAAGGAAAATATATGGCATTAAACATGTATATTAGAAAAGAAGGGTGTTCTAAAGTCAGTAATGTAAGTTTTAATCTTAAGGAAGTAGAAAAAGACAAATTAAATTTAAAGTAAGCACAAGAAAAGATAAAAATTTAAGCATACATCAATGAAATTGAAAACAGGGAAGCAATAGAGAAAATTAATAAAACCAACAGCTGGTTCTTAAAAAGATCAATAAAATCTATAAGGCTCTAGTCAGGCTAAGAAAAATAAAATATAGAGGACATAATTACTAATATCAGAAATGAAAGAGAGGATATGACATCACTACAGATCCAAGGGACATTGAGAGTGTAAATTAAGGATTATTAAGAACAACTCTTATGCCCACATATTTGATCATCTAAATGAAATGGACTGTTTTCTTGAAAGACACAATCTGGTAAAACTCACACAAGAAGAATTAGACAATTTGAATGGGCCTATATCTCTGAAATAAGCTGAATCAATAATTAATAACTTCCCCAAATATAAATCATCAGGCTTAAATCAGTTCACTGTTGAGTTTTACCAAGCATTTAAAGAATAAATGGTATGAGTTCTTTACAATCTACAATCTCTTTCATAAGACAGAAGAAGCAGGCATACTGTCTAACTTCTTCCATGGACCAGAATTATTCTAATACCAAACTAAACAAGTATATTACAAGAAAAGAAATCTATAGACCAATCTCTTATGAACATACATATAAAAATCCAAAAACAACAACAAAAATACTTTATCAAATCAAACCCAATTACGTATAAAAATAATTATACACCATGTACAAGTGAGATTTATCCTAGGTATGAAAGGCTGTTTCAACATACAAATAATTTTTTAATAATAATTTTATTATTTAATAATAATGTTAAAAAATCCTAGGTAAACTAGAAATAGAAGAGAATTTTCTTAACTTGATAAATATTTATCTACCAAAAATCTACAGCTAATATAATACTTAATGGTGAGAAACTAGAAGCTTTCCCACTAAGATCAGGAATAAGATAAGTATATTCTCTCTCACTGATCCTTTAGAACATATCACTAGAGGTTCTGGGTAATGCAATAAGACAAGACAAGAAAAGAACATGTATACATATATGGAAGGAGAAAGCAAAATGAGTTTTGCTTGCAGATGACATGATTGTTTATTTACAAAATCCTAAAAAATTAATGGAAACGTTCCCAGAAATAAGTGACTATAGGAAGGTTGCAGGAAACAAGGTTAATATATATTAAAAAAAAACTCTTTCCTATATACCAGCAATAAACAAGAGGAACTTGAAATTAAAAACACAATAGGCCGAGCGTGGTGGCTCATGCCTGTAATCCCAGCACTTTGGGAGGTCAAGGCGGGTGGATCACAAGGTCAGAAGATCGAGACCATCCTGGCTAACACAGTGAAACCCTGTCTCTAGTAAAAATACAAAAAAAAAATTTAGCTGGGCCTGGCGATGTGCGCCTGTAGTCCCAGCTGCTGAGGAGGCTGAGGCAGGAGAATGGCGTGAACCCGGGGGGTTACGCCTTCACAAATTAATTAGTCCTTCACAAATTAATCTATAGATTTGGCCTGATCTTAAAGCTCAGCAAGTTATTTTGTGGACATTGACAATCTAATTCTAAAGTTTGTATGAACAGGCAAAAGACCTATAAGATAATGCAATAGTAAAGGAGAAGAACAAAGTTTGAGGACTCACACTATCCAACTTCCAGATTAGTTACAAAACTACAGAAATCATGACAGTGTGATGTTGACTTAAGAACTAACAAATAGAGCAATGGAACAGAATAGAGAGCCCAAAGATAGACCCACATAAATGTAGCCAAGTAATCTTTCACGAAGAAACAATAGCAGTACAATGGAGCAAAGACAGGCTTTTCAACAAATAGGCTGTCAAAACTGAACCTACATTTCCAAAAAGTGAATCTAGACACAGACTTTACATGTTTCATAAAAATTAACTCAAAATGAATCATAGTCCTAGATATTAAAACACAAAATCATAAATTTCTAGAACATAACACAGAAGAAAACCTAGATAACCTTGAGTGTGGCAACAACTTTTTAGCTATAGTAACAAAGCCAAAATTCATAAAGGAAAAAATGACTTTATTAAAATTAAATACAAACAAACTTCTGATTTGCAAAAGACACTGTCAAGAGAATGAAAGGACAAGCCAGACTGGAAGAAAATATTTGCAAAAGACGTATCTGATAAAGGAGTCTCATCCAAAATATATGAAAATCTCTTAAAATTCAACAGTAAGAAAATGAACAACCTGATTAAAAAATGGGCAAAAGTCTTGATCAGACATTTCATCAAAGAAGATATACAGATGGCAAATGAACATATGAAAAGATGTCCAACATCACATGTCATTAATAAATTGCAAATGAAGACAATAAATTTCTTCTACATACTTATTAAAATGGCCAAAATATACAACACTGACAACAGCAAGCGCTGGTGAGGATGTGGAGGAACAGGAAAACTCATTCATTGCCAGTGGCAATGCAAAAATGTGCAGCCACTTTGGAAGTTTCTTACAAAACTGAACATACTCTTAGCATAATATCTAGCAATCATGCTTTTTAATGTGTATCCAAAAAAGTAGAAAACCTATGACCACACAAAAACTTGCATGGGATTCTTTACAGAAGCTTTGTTCATAACTGTCACAACTTGGAAACAAACAAGATGCTTTGAAGCATTATGTGAATGGATAAACTGTTGTATATATAGACAATGAAATAGTCATTGCTAAAAATAAATAAGCTACAAAGCCATTAAAAACATAAAGGAATGTTAAATGCATATTACAAAAGGAAAGAAGCAAATCCAAAAAGAATACATATAATAATGTATAATTCCATTTATATGCGTTTTTAGAAAAGGCAAAACTATAAAGGAAATAAAAAGATCAGTGGTTTCCAGGGATTGGGGACAGAGGATGGACAAAGCATAGCCCAGAGGATTTTCACAGCATTTGAAACACTCTGTAGGATGCTATAGTGGTGTATACATGGCATTACACGTTTGTCCAAACCTGTAGAATGACTACACTGAGTGAACCCTAATATAAACTATAGACCTTGGGTGATGATGATATGTTAATGTAGGTTCATTCATTGTAAGAAATGAACTACTCTTAGGAGGATGTTGCTAATGAAGAAGGCTATGCATATGTGGGGGAAGGACGTATATGATAAATCTTTGCACATTTCTCTTAATTTTGCCATGGACCTAAAGCAGCTCCAGAAAATGAAGTCTTCAAAAAGAATGGCTTTATAAAAACGTGGAGATAATGAACAGTCAAACATACTGTATCTGAATAACATTTCTCCAATTATACTGATACTTCAGTCTTACATCTGATGCCATGAAGTGTTTAGTTCAACACATTCCATAATGATCTTTCTTAATTTTATTGAAAATATTCATTCAAAATTATTCATAAATTTAATAAATATTTATTGAACATCTATTACATACGAGTTATTGTCCAAGATACAGGGAATAAACCAGCGAACAAAACAAACATTTCTATTCTCATAGAGTTTATATTCCAGTGGATGAGGAAGACATACAATAAATAAAACAATTAAATCACATAATTCATTAAGAAGAATCAAGCCCAGGAGGCATTCAGAGAGAGTGAGGGGTGCATACGTACAATTCTTAATTAGATGGTCAGAAATGCCCTCATTGCCCTCATTGAGAGGTGACATTGAACAAAGACTTTAAGATGATGCGGGAGAAAGTCAAGCAGATGTCTAAGGAATATAACACCAGGCAAAAGGAATCGCCAGTGCAAAGGCCCCTAAAACTTGAATGTTTCTAGTGCAGTAAAAGAACAAGCAGGTGGTCAGTGAAGCTGAAAGTTGACTGAGTAGGAAATGGAGTCAGTAAAGTAATTGGCAGCTATCTCTAAGGGCATCTAGTGGTCCTTGGTGATGGTTACAAGAGAAAAAAATAAAAAGAATCATTTGTTTATTATTCTGTAGATAATAATAGAACTAGAAACTAGAGGAGACTAATATTGATTTGAAAAATGTATGACAGAGATTGTGTCCAGGCATCCTCTATGCATTTCTTAATTTAGCACTTAAAATTTCTTATGCATGTATTATTATTTCCATTTATAGATGTAGGAACTGAGATTCAGAGCGTTTAATAAATTGCCTAATTTCATTGAGAATACACAGTTATCTCAGCATTTAAAATCAGTACTCTTGATTCCAAAGTTACATTCTTTTGACAATATGTTATGTCAGCCAAGTTTTAGCAACAAGTGATATGACTTATCTTCAACCTTGAGCATTGCAACCATCTCTTCTTTAATAAACAGCTAACTACTTAAAAAAAAACTTGATGCTTATAAGCACGTAAAAGGTGTGTGTGTGTGTGTGTGTGTGTTCTTTCTACTTTTACAATGGGATTAAAAGTTGCTTTTGGTTGAAAGCAAGCATAGCAGAGTGGTTAAAAGCATGGTCTGTAGCATCAGATGAGGCCTTGTTTCTTGCCATTGCTTGCTTATGGATGTCTTTGGACATGGTACTGAAATTCTCTAGGCTTCTGTTTTCATGTGTGTCAAGTGGGCATGCAAATAACATATGCATATGCACATAATATAGGCAAATAACTTATTACAGTGATAATTAAGTGACAGAATGAATGTATATTACTTAATCTGGTCTGTATGTAATACGGGTTCAATAGGTTTTAGCCACCATAATTTATATTTCCTAACTCACTACAAGTGGCTGTCAGCTCCTACAGTCAAGGAATGTGATTTTTCTAGTATTGATAGGGCCCTACGCACCCACCCACCCCTGCCAAAGTGCAAAGCAAAAACTATTGCTCTAGTGGGATTTTAAAAATTATTTTCACCTATAATGTACTGCAGTGAAAACTTCAACCCACTCCCAGAAGCACTGCTTAGAGTGTGGCATAATTAAAATAAGGGAACAATCAACAGCAGGAATGTTAGCATAGAACCAAGGAAATTATTAAGAAACCAAACTGAACATCATCATTAAGAATCACCAGAGGCTTCTATAAATATGTAAGTAGTGTAGGAGTTGAAATAATACAGAAGGGAAACACACTATAAAAATATGTTTGTGTCTATAGGCACTGCCTGCCTAAGCCTTCAGGGTGTGTAACTCTAACTTCTTCAGTGAGGGTGACTTATGATGCAGATACTATTATACATTAGAGAGCATCAAGGCCTGGATTTTAACAGGTGTTAAAGCACAATTTATATTTGTTTCTATGCTTAAAAGTAGTAGCTAAGCCATAAAAACCACACTCTGCCCTACTTTTGAAAAAATAAGAACCCTATAAAAGTAACCCATACTTTGTATCCAAAGTCTATACTTTTATTGAGCTACCAGATTTGATACAAGGTATAATACAAGTCTTAAATTATTACTAACATGTAAGGAGTCATATTTAAACTACTCTGTTAGGGTAGTGAATCCAAGAACTTAGCAGAGCCATATCTCTGGTATCGAAGTGGTAGAAACTAGGTTAGTTAATGCAGGAATGCAAGAGAGATTTCAAGTCTAAATTTTAGTGCCTGATTTTGGTATGCAGGACTTCCTCTCCAGTTACACACCAAGTTAGACCTCCAATCTCAACTTGGAGAAATATTCACTATTTCACTCAGGGCTATGGGAAAAAAAAATTTGATCTTGATTTAAAGAATAAGCAAATGTTTAACCAGGAAAAACTAATGGCATAAACTTGCCTAAAAAAACAGCTTTAATGCCAGAGAAAACATTGCTGTGTTTGAGGAAATGAAAGCACAGGGTGACTGGAGTGTGGCATATAGAGGGGAAACTGGCCAGAAGGTAATTTAAAGAAGCAGCAAAAGTCAAATCACCATCAGTTATATGTTAAAGAATCTGGGTGTTAGTCTACATGAAATGAAAAGACATTGATAGTCTGTTGCGAAGAAAGAGGGTGAATCTGTGCTATGATTTATAAGAAGCAGTCTGGCTGCTGTAAGGGGATGATGGGAGTGGGAGAAAAAGTGTGACAGCTAGAGAGGCTGCAATGGTGACATGAACTGAGGCTGAAAGTGAAAATGGAGAGAATGGATAGCTCCTAGATCTATCCTTGAGGTAGAATCAAAAAGACTTGCAGATAACTGGGATGTTAGGTGCTTACAAAAGACTTGTCAAAAACTTCACAGTTTCCTGCTTAAGTGATAATGAGAATACCTGCTTTTATAGAGTGACTACAATGCTAGAAGTGTAGATCAAGAATTCAATGTTTAGCCTCCTGCTAATCTGAATTGTATGAGACATTCAGGTGGAGATTCCTAGTAGACCATTAGATATAAGAGTTTGCAGGTTAGAAGAGACCTCGGGATTGTCCTAGTACATATACAGGTTTGTACCTTATAAGCATTTCTTTGTAAAGCTTTACATACCTAATTATTTCCCTAGGTCCAAGGAATGATGAGAAAATTACTACTAAAAGCAACATTTCTCAAAATTCAAATGCCCAGGAGACTGTTGCAATGAAAAAAATTTGATAAACTGTGTAGGCTGCTCTAAAAATCCAACCAACAAACCAAAGAAACAAAAAACAATGCAAATAAAGTTTTGCAAAAGTAAAACATGGGGTATGAGTTGCCTGAGGATCTTGAACATTAGAAGTGTGCTATTCTCAACTCTTACAGGGATTTTGTTACCTTGGTCCAATCCCTGCCCATTGAGTTTTCTTAGTCAAAAATGAACTCTCTTTTGTACTATGTGTACCACAAGGCTAACAAAGCTAGAAAAATGCCTATAGTAAAGAAAAACACGCCTTCTTTTCCTATAGACCCAATGAGAAATGAGCTGAGCTCAGTTTTTTTAAGAGCCATGCTAATTAAACAGTATGGTCTTAAGAGACTGCTAAATCATGACCCCGCCTAAACTGTTTATCTTCAAGCACAGGATAATAGCATAATAATTGGTGAAATGAAGCCATTTCTGATCAAATTGCTCTTTTCTTTAGCCTCTGTGCCCAATATAAGTGACTTTTCCCCAGCTCCAACCCCAGCAGTTGAGACTCTGCTGACATTACAACATGAAAATCTTCAGTAATTGATTCCAACTGTTGCAGCTGCAAAGAATTGCTTTGCTAAGTAAAGGGATTTATGGATTTGGCCACATTTTGTTGTTTGCTGCCTTCGATTACTACAAATTCATTCTTCTCTCAGTTTTCCAAAATAAGAGTGGATAGAACTGATATGGAAATGGTTTTAGCAATGTGTTAGATTAAAAAAAGTTCTCTGTAGGTTCTTTTAAAAATAAAACATTTCTTTTTCTCTCAGCAGTAAAATATTTTCATTGATGAAAATTTTGGAAACATACAAATTTTTAAAAAGTAAGAACTATTTATAATCATTCAACCATGATAACCACTACTGTTTTTAGTTTTTATAAAAGTTATCTTTCAACATATATATGGTTATGTTTATTTTTAATCAAATTATAATGAAATAATTTTTTCATCTTTCTTTTTTCCCATGTTTTAAAAATTTTTTCAAAAACATGATTTTTAATCTCTGAAAAATACTTTAATATATGTTTAATAGCTTATGAGATACATTCTGTTATCTAACTAATATTAAATTTGTTCCTGAAGAGCTTTCAAAAGTAAGTTTCTGTACCTGGCTTAGAATAGTGCTTATACACTCACATTTCAATAATTCATAATTTATTGTAGAGTCTTCCAATGATACATTTTCTACTAAGAATAATAAGAAAAGAAACAGAAGTCCTGACTGCTAGAATTATTTCAGTATAATATACATGTGCAAACCAGAATCTTATATGTCAAAAAGATGAGCAGATTTAAAGACAGTGGGCTCATTTATATTCTTCTCCCTGTACTATCATTTTGCTGGATAAGCCAAACACACCATAGCACATTTGCTATATTAAAATGGCCATGTGAAATGCTTACTTGCTGGGAGGACCATAGGCTTCATAAACATTTGAAGATACTTGCTTTGTAGGTTTTTGTATTGCAATGCAACTGATGACAGCGAAGAACACATATCTATTTTCTAAAACTAAAGTTTTCTTTCTTCCCTCAACTGTCCATTGGCATCAACTCATAAAGTTCCCTTATTTATCTATCTTCATATGACTTGAGAATACAGGACCAAGGAGTTTCTTACTTCTAAAGATGATAATTTTTGATGCTAACCTCAGTGAGGCTGGTTGTGGAGTTGAATCAGTTAGGGGTTGCTTTAGGAGTTGTTCTTATAGGTCACAGCTGTCAGCATCTCATCTTTATATTTAGTGTAAAATCCTGCCTCCTCTCACTTGCTTTCTTTTTACATTTTAGTTTCTGCAAAATACACAAGAAAAACTCCTTTCTCCTATATACTGAAAAATTCTGGAATTAGTTTGTAATTTTAATGCTATGCTCAGGAGTTGGAATATGAAACTGGGGAGATTCCTTTTCTTCTTCTTTTTATTTATTTATTTATTTTTAGACAGGGTTTCTGTCAGCCAGGCTAGAGCCCAGTGGTGAAGCCATGGCTCACTGCAGCCTCAAACTCCCTTGTCTCAAGCAGTCCCCCTACCTCAGCCTCCCAAGTAGCTGAAATACAGGTATGTGCCACCACAACCAGCTAATTTGCAAATCTTTTGCAGAGATGAGGTCTCACCATGTTGCCCAGTGGTCTCGAACTCCTGGCCTCAAGCAGTCTTCCTATCTTGGCCTCTCAAAGCACTGAGATTACAGGTGTGAGCCACCACACCAGGAAGATTTTTGAAAAACACTTAAGAATAGGATTTCTCAAATTTAGCGCTTCTGAAATTTCGGACTGGAAAATTCTTTGTTGTAGTTCTGCCCTGTACACTCTATGTGTTTAGCAGCATCCCTGTCCCTGGTCTCTTCCCACTTCTGGAGTAGCCCTCCAGTAGTAATAACCGAAACCAAAACAAAAACAGAAACAGAAACAAAAACAAAAACAAAACAAAACAAAAACCTACGGTCATTGCCACGTGTTCCCACAGGATTCAAAACTTTTCTGGTTGAGAACCACTGCTCTTAATTCTGCCCATGACTCTCCTCCAGCCTATACTTTTTAGCATTTTCTCCAGAGACCAAGTAAACACTGTAATTATTTCTGCTATAGTATTTTACAGGATTGTTATTCCTTTAGATTGACTTTACACAGAGACTGGACTTTATTGGGTGCCAGTTATATTTAGTATACTGCCATGTAGACCTTGATTTTCAAATTAATGAGTTGATATGTAACATCTATCTCTCTTTTGGCTGTTAGCAACAGCTGGGCAAAGAGGAAGAAAAAAGAGGGTGAGAGAACTGAAGGTTAGTAGATACTGGTTTAAATCCTCCAATTTCTCAATTATTAGAAGAAGCTAGTTGTATTTATAGGTTTTGACAGCTCTAGCATCGGGTAATAGTTCAGGTGATTATAGTATATTTGATTATACTATAGTTTTATTACAAACACTGTAACACAAAGAAATGATTTTCTCAGTGTTGCATATGTGAGGTAAGCATACTTCTAAATAATAAAGAAAAATAATGTCTATGGTAGGAAAGTCAAGAGTTGGGAGGAAATTTGGTGGACAGGAAATCACTTATTAGTAAGAGTGCTTAGAAACCTTTCAGTTATTGAAGATTTGATACGTTGACCTAAACTCTGTTCTTACCTCCATCTTATCAGAAGTTATCAACTCAGTCTTTTGTGTATTCCTTTTCCTACATCAATGTATCTCAAATTTGACCATTAAGCTCAAAGTAGAATAAGATTCATTCTGTGGGTTTCTATTTCTGTAGAATAAAAGATATGCCTGTCAATATTGGGGAATTGCATGGGTGTTAGCACAAAAAGAAAGGGAAGTTTTCTGTCTTTAATATGTATAGTCAGGACCCAAGCTTCAAGAGTTATGAATGCCCTTATTCTCCTCTTCATTTGTCACCTATTGATGGCAGCAGATTTAACAAGTAGGCCAAACACCTCAGGAGCATTTTAAAAGCTATTTTGTTATTCCAGGATTTCGGGCAAGAATCCCTGCGGACTTGCAAGATCAGGAAGGAGAAAAATGGTCTGAAGTCATAGAGGATGGGTGTTGTAAACTGTCACTGTTAAATCTAAGATCCGTACTTCATTTAGACACTGAGTTTGAAAGCTTTTTTACATCATGACAAAAACATGTTTCCTATATATTAAGTGTCTGTCGATGAAGAGTGTTGAATGCAGATGCGATTTTGACCCTTGTTTGGGCTTTCTAATGACTACAGCACAATTGGAAGAAGGAGGTGAAAACAATTCAGAACTTTCTATTTATAATTTTAGAGACATGAGGAACATAAAAACCCTTTAACATTGTCTTATAATTTAGCAAATGATTTAATTAAAGGAATTTGTTTTCTTTTAAAATAATCTTCATGTTATAGTTTCCCTGCATCTTTAAAATGCAGAGATATTCTGCAGGTTCTGAAAAGTACTCTTGGTCAAGGGAAGAATAATCATTATTTTTTATATTGGATCATTAGTGATTCAGAGTTTTGCAATCATTCAGGGAACAACACAGGATTAGCAAGATATGAATTCAGCAGGGGATTAAGCAGAAAGCCTAATCACTTGCCAGAGTTGAATGAATCTTGAATCTTTCTGGAGGTTGAAAACTATTTGATTAACTCATTAAAAATTATTTTCAGCCCTTGCAGATGTTTCCCAAGAGGAAGCATTATGATTCCATTATAAGCTAGAGTCTCTATGTTAGAAATTCTATTTTGTTATCCTGTTAGCCAGGTGCCTACTATCATAGGTATCAAATATTTCTTGTTGGGAAGGTTTGGATACAACAAGCAAACAATCTAAATTCCAATAACTACAGTATCTGGCAAGAAGAATTATCAAGTTAGACAGAAGGAGATCATGAATGATAGACAAAATATTTCATTCTTTTCTTTTTTCCAAAATGGAAATTGTTAATTTACTCTAATAATTAGAAAAGTATTTTATTCTCATTGTAAACAATTAATTCATTACAGAAAAAATAGAATAAGGTGTATAAAAATGGGCTGTTTTACATAAAGTTAGACATGCTTAACAAGTTGGTTTCTAAAAATACAGACAAGTAAATATTAATTAAAAAACTGAGGGTCCCAATATACATTCTTAGTTGCCACCTTCTTTTTTTAACCAAATAATTTTTCTAAATACCTCTTCAGCCTTATAGATTTACACAATTGTTGTAAATCATGGGATATTTTGTCATTGATCGAATACATAACGATATACCATAGTGTTTAAATGCATGCATTTTGGAGTCAGATAAACCCAAATTTGAGTCTGGACTCTGCTAATTAAAAACTAGATATTCTTGCATTTAGCTTTATCGCTTTAAGTCACAGTCTGTCGTTTATGTATCTGTTTTGTTTTATTGTTTTTAACTGCAGAAGAAGACAAGAGAGATAATAGCAATAACACCTAATTTGTATGTTTTTTATTGTGAGGATGGAATGAGATAAATAAGTGCCATGAATAGTGTGCCCAACATTTGACTCATTGCATGGGCTCAACAAATGTTACGTATTATCATTGTCATAATTCATTTAGCTAATCCTCTATTGCTTAATGTTTGGATTGTTTTCTATTTTCTCTGTTCTAATACTTTGAAGAATCCCTGTGAAATCAAATTTATGAAGTCATTATTTCTCTAGAATCAATTATTGAAAGTGAATTCCAAGGTGTCAGGATTTTTTTTTTTGTTTTTAGAATTTTTATTATTTAGCCAAATTTTCTGCATCCTATAAAGGTGAAACAATTAAAAATCCTATTAGCATTATAGGAGAGAAGGATTTGTTTTACTCCATTTGAAGAGTTAAGATGGTAATTTTTTGATGATGAGCTGTGTAGGTGAGAAAAATCTTCAGGACATTTCAAGCCACTAAAATACTCCTTTAATGGCCTTAAAAGATTTTGAAATCCCTTTGAAAACATTTAAAAACACAACAAAAGTCATGCTCCTTGCTAAACAATTTCCAGAGAAACAGATATTTTATATCCCTCCAACAAAATAATCATTTTTACAATTCAGTAGTGCTATTTTGAGTTCTGTTACTGAATTGAATATAATAATTCTAATGTTTGTAAAGAAAAGCTATATCCCTTACAAGGGTCTATGAATATCACAGTGGTGCAAGGCTTACAGCAGAAAGAGAACAAATTGGAACCAGATGAAATTGGGCTCATATTCTGGGCTAATATGTATTTATTAGTTGTGCAAACATTAAAAGCACTATCAAATATTTCTGATATCTCATATACTCATCCCTACGTAAAGATAATTACACCCTCATGAACATTTCTTTACATTTGCTGATTCAATAGCTCTCCTCTGTTTTTTAACAGAATTCCTCTTTCTTTGGGAAAGTGCTCCTTCCCACTTAACATGGTCTCCAAGGGTCTGTCTATTGCCATACTCTTCTAGTCCAGGGGTATAGAATTTTTCATGCCGCTTAGATTTCATTAATCTTAGTGTCTATCTCCCTAGCCACAAAGTTTCTCACAGTGATGGTACATGGCTCAAGCCAGGCCAACCAGCATCTTCCTAGTTTTTCAGATGATTTAAGCCTGTAACTCCAAGTTGTCCATTCTATTCTGCAGTGTAAGAAATAAGGAATAATGCTACATCATGAAGAGAAAGAGAGGTTGAGGAAGACAGAAACAAAAGTTTCTGAGACTCACATTCTTTAAGGGGTATTAACATTCCTAGAATTCTCAACTATATGAGGCTCTCAATGCTCATTTATGTTTAAAACACTGTCTTCATCTATTTTCTGTTGCTTATTTCAGAATACCTGAAACTAGGTAGTTTATAGGTTAAAGGGATTTATTTCTTATGGAGGCAGAAATGTGGTCAAGGGGCCACATTTGATGAGGGCCTTCTTGCTGGTAGTATCTCCGTAGACAGTCCTGAGATGACACAGGGCATCACATGGTGAGGGGACTGAGTGTGCTAACATGCTATGCTCAGTTCTCTTTTTCTTCTTATAAATCCACCATGATACTCCATTAATCCACTAATGCTTTAAATCATTAATCCATAAGTGGATTAATCCATTCATGAAGGCAGAGTCCTTATGATCTAATCATCTCTTAAAGATCTTACTTCTCAATACTGCCACATTGGGGATTAAGTTTCAACATGAGTTTAGAGGGAACATTGAAACCATAGCACATGGCTTGTGTTATGACTTTGTCACTTGCAACATAAAGGGTCTTAGTAAAAAAATCTATCCCATGGGGTGCTGTATGTGTTGATTGAGATATAGTATTTAAAGTAGCCAGCATAGGACCTTCCATATAAAAGTCCCTTTCTTTTCTTATTAAAATTCTTATTTATTTTTAACAGCTGTCAATGTCCAATGAGAATGTGGGTGTAGGATGAAGAATAAATAGTTCAGCACCCTTCCTTTAAGTTCTTTCTAAAACTCTCGGATGGCTTAGACAACAATTAAATGTTGACTTGACTTGGTAAGAAAATCTAGTCTTTATTTTCCCCTCCTCAGTTCTCAATGATTTAGCAATTAAAGCTTTACTACTTTCATATTATATCCTGGCAATGTTAAGTATACTTAGAATTTAAAGAAAAGGCTGGACTTGAGTAGAAATATTCATTAAAGAAACCAAAGGAACAATAACTACAAGTGACAGCAAAGGGAAGTCGAATGATATAACGAATTTCCCCTAGAATTCCAGTGCTGATGCTGCCCTTAGTGGGATGATCTCAACAAACCTCATTTAACCTCCCTGGACTACAGTTGTAGAAGGAGAGAATTGATAAATGATCCTTTCTGGTGCCAACACTTAATGTTATGATTTTGTGTAGCAGCAAACCATGTGGACCTTCCAACTTGCTGTGTCATTAAAAGGTTGGTATATTTTCACTCTTCAGACATCCGACAAGATATAATTACAAAAGAACTACATTTCCATGTATTCCTATGGTGATTATAGGTGAATGAAGAAAGGCAACTAAGTCTAGCCAGGAGCTTAAGTTGTGAGTTGCTAAGTGACTTTGGACAAATCACTTCCTTCTTGGGCCTTTATTTGTTTTGATTGAAAACAGTGGTCTTTATTATATTTCTACCAAAGAACCCTCTGCAAATGACATGACTGTAGATTCTGCTGGTTCTAACAGGAATGGAGGGTGAAAGCCTCACCCACTCAGACTCTCCCTGTTCCTGGCTAAGGTCTCTGAGTCATCCCACAGAGAGGAGGATCTCTCAGAAATGTGTTTTCACAAATAGAGAGTCACTTCCATTATACAATTCCATAACATCATGAGTAAAAAACTGATTTGGCTCATTTTATTCTTGTGTTCTTTATTAGAATAAGGCAGCCTACAAAAAATTTAAATGTAGTACTTTCTCAAAATTGAGCTTAAATAGATTATTTTTAAATAGGGATGTCTAAGAGTATCTTATTTATATTATAATGTCCTAGGCCAAAGTTTTAAAGCTATAATAATCAAAGATTAGTTTTGCTTATTTGTATTTTCTTTTTATTGCTGTTTATACTAAACATTCTCACTTAAGAATCGCTTTTGGAATGAATAACGTATGATGCCATGTTTAGGGTAACCAACAATTCCAGTTTCCCTGGGACTGCCCTGGTTTTAGTGCTGAAAGTCCCTAATCCCAGGAAATTTTTTAGTTCTGGGATAACCGGAAGAGTAGGTCACCATTGTCAATCATCTTGTTGGACTAGAAAGCAATTTTTGAAAATTGATTGACCACATTGTAATTGAAAAATAATGAAGGTGATGACCCAAAGAAAAAAAAAAGGGATATGTACCCTCTTCTGGCTTAACCTGGCACATGAGCCAAACCCACTCATTCTGTCTTACTGCTGGGCTGCACCTCTATCTTGCACTCTGCTCTGGGCTCACCCTCAGGGCATTGGGTACCATCACAAGTCCTAGGATTCTTCTGCCTAGGACTCATCCACTTCTACTTGCCTGTATTACGGTCAAGGCAAAACTGTAACTCTGGATTAATTTTCCATTGCTGCTGCCACAAATTACACCAAATGTAGTTGCTTAAAACAGTGCAAAAGTATTATCTTACCATTCCGGAGATCAGAGGTTTATCATGGACATCACAGGGTTAAAATCAAGGTGTTAGCAGGGCTACATTCCTTCTGGAGGCTCTAGGAAAGGCTCTGCCCTCTTACATTCACCAGTTTCTTGATATCACCTGTTATTTCTGACTTGTGGTGTCCTACTCCATCTTCAAAGCCAGCACTGTTGCATCTCTCTGTGTCTTTCTTCCATGGTCACCTTTCCCTTCTACTTCCCTCTTTCCCCTTTAAGAACTCTTGTAACTATTACATTGGACCTACCTGGATAATCCAAGGTAAACTTCCTATTTTAAGGTCAACTGATTAGGAACCTTAATTTCATCTACAACCTTAATGCCTCTATGCTATATAGTATAATATATTCACAGGCTCCACGGGATTAGAATGTGGATATGTTTGAGGGCGCCATTAATCTGCTTACCACACTATGTATCAAATTATTTAATGCTCACTCGTTAAGATTAGGAAGCAAGGTTTACAGTTATCACTGAGATCAACCCACAATACTTGGTATATATTTAGGAAAATTAAATAATTTATCTTTCAAACCAGAATACTTTTTTTTTTTTCTTTTTTTGAGATGTAGTCTCACTCTGTCACCCAGGCTGGAGTGCAATGGCGTGATCTCGGCTCACTGCACCCTCCGCCTCCCAGGTTCAAGCAATTTTCCTGCCTCAGCTTCCCAAGTAGCTGGGACTACAACCATGCCTGGCTAGTTCTTTTGTCTTAGTAGAGACGAAGTGGCACCATGCTGGCCAGGCTGGTCTCAAATTCCTGACCTCAGGTGATCCACCCGCCTCGGCCTCCCAAAGTGCTGGGATTACAGGCATGAGCCACCTCGCCCAGCCCGAATACTTTTTGGAGTGAAAGAGGTACTCTTAGTAATTCCTACAAGAAGGTAGGCATAAATTGTTCTAGTCCAGGAAAAGTAGGACACTGCATATAACATTCCACAAATATATGTTGAACTTAATATAGTTTATAGATCTTTCATCAAATAATCAGTTACATGCTAGGTGGCTTGAGAATCCAGGAGATACACTCTGTTGGGCAGAAATGATTCCTGAATGAAAAACTGTAAGTGAGATAAATTTTGTGATATACTTTATAAAGCATAGTTTAGAGAAGACAGAGTATCAGTGAAGGCTGATGTTTACTAGAAAGTCACACGGAAGAGTTGGGAAACTGAAAATAACATAATAGTACAGCAAAATTTAAATAAAAATGCTGATAATTTCCCACAAATTAAATCACATTTCATTTTCTTCTAGCCATATTCAAATACATAAATATTACAAGGCTGATGATAGTATTTTGTGTCCTGCTTTCTTTACTGAAAATATAAGCGTCTTCATGTTCTGTCACGATTTTCATAATTATTTCAACAACCATTACATAGTCTCTAGTTGAACAATATTGATGTGGCTTCCAAAATTCACCAAGCATAAATGATACTGAAAAACATCTGAACCATGGCTCTTCATTTTTTAATGCTGGCTATATTATTAATCCAGTTTCAGAAGTGAGTAGATGGATGTCCTTTAGGTAAATTGAAGTATGGTTGCCTGGGGAAGTCAAAGGAACAAAATGAGACCATATGCAGGTCTGTAGTGGCTGAATGATGGCTCCCCAAAGATGTCAACGTCCTAATTCCCAAACTGTGGATGTGACCGTATATGGCCAAAAAGACTTTGCAGACATAATTAAATTAAGGATCTTGAGATAGGGAGATTATCATAAATTATCTGGGTGGGTCCAATGTAGTCACAAGTCTCCTTAGAAACTGGAGGCAGGGGAGTCAGTCCAAGGAAATGATGTGATTTCAGGGGCAGAGTCTGTTAACAGAAGGCGACAACACTGTGCAGCCGCCTTTGAAGATGGACAAAGGGGGCACTAGCCAAGAAATGCATATGACTCCTAGAAATTGGCAAAGGCAAGGAAATGAATTCTCCTCTAGAGCCTTCAGAAGGAAAAAGCCTGTTAGCATCTTTTTGGCCCAGTGAGACTGATTTTAGACTTCTCACACCTAGAACTTTGAAACAATAAATTTGTGTTGCTTTAAGCCACTAAGTTTGTGGTAACGTATCATAGTGGCAACTGGAAACTAATAAAAGGCCATATACCAGGCCATAGAGTTAGGAATGAGAATGGCATCATTTGGATATTGAAGAGCAGCCCTCTCTGAGCAGGGTATTCACATTGAAGAAGTAGGTTCACAGAAGGTAAAGGTGAGGTGGAAGCAGTGGGTGAATATTTGGCAACAGACTGATGGTCTCAAGTCCAAACTCTGCTATAAACTCAAGTAACTTAATAAGTTGTTTTGCAAAAGAGGAAAAATGCAATTAACCTTCTGGACATTTTTGAAAATTAGAATATTACAATAGTTAAAAGCATGGATCTTGTAGCTTTAGCAAGCTTAGCTCAAGTCCTTTGGTTCAACTGTCAATTACTAATTATGTGGATTTGACTGTGTTACTTACCTCTCAAAGTTATTTCCACATTTCTAAAATAATGTTACTAATTGAGCCTCCTTCATGTGGTTGTTAGGAAGATTGTATGTAGATAGTGCAATATCATGTATGCAGTGCAATAAATAAATGTGTATATTGAATCGATGGTCAATACATGCCAAGTCCCAACATCTGGGAGTGTGCACAAGTGTTCATTCATTTATTCAGGAGTTATTTATTAAATTTCCACCCTGTATTAGGCACTTTAAAAGGTCTCAGGCTGCAATGAGACATAATAGACAGGTCCCCTGCCCTTGTAGAACATATGTAATGGTTTCCTTTCTTTCTTTTTTGAAAATGAGTGAGATTTTCAGCATTTTCCAATGATCTCACCTTACTGAAGTCACTACTTCAATCTGAAGTGAGAAGCTCCTCTATGATAAATTCTATTTATGGTTTTGGGGAGCTGTCACGGTAACAAGCCACCCTTTTAGGCTGCATGGTGTCACTGCTCCTTGATAATATAACTACCACCTCCAGTTGGCACTAGGTTAATGACATATTAGAGAAAATGACTTTCAAGAATTTCTCATTTATGATGTAAGCCAGAAAAAAATATTTCCTTTGCTGAAGTTCCTGGCACTTCCCTAAAACACTTAATAATTAACCTTTCTTACAAAAAATAACGTGGCAGTTAGAAAAGCACAGAGATATTTATTTTCACTCCCCATAGGACTAAGAAAGGTAGTGATCAGGCTGGCCTGAAGAGATCATACTGTTATAATGAAAGAAGGCTCAACTAGTAGGGGGTATAATAAATGTAAGCCCGAAGTAAATGAATCATTATAAAATATACACTCCATCTCCACAATGAGTCTATTTCATTAAAATAATCTCTGGAATAATGTCGTCCTCTCTTGGCTTTCTCCTACTGTGAATCTATCCATGATTTCACCATTACAAATCTTGTACCCTGAGGACATATTTGTAATAAGAATGAAGGGTTTGGTTATTTGCTTTTAATAACTATGCCTCTCAAATCCTCCTTAATGCAGCAGAGATTCTGTTTGGAAGAACATGCCAGAATTATTGAAGGATCAATCAATATTGGCAATTAATCATAATCACAGCTGGTAATCATAGCTGCAATTACCAATTGATTAATTAGGACAGCTCTTGAAATGCCAGCAGAAATTTAGTTTCATATTAGATTCAGCCCAATAACCATAAACTTCTACAATTACTTTTCAGCTTACCATTATTTATGTCATATTTCTTTCTATTATTAGCTGCTATATTTATTTATTCATCATTTTATTTGAGCAGGCCAAACTCTTTTACTGTCTTTTTATGGTAGAAATCTATTAAAATATGTTTAAGTCATAGCATTAAATAAATCTAGTGTCAGTGCTAAGCAAATATTTGCAAATTTAGGACATCTATTTGCATTGCTTTCCAGGCCAAGAATTATTTTTTTGCCAAAAAACAGAATTCAAATATATTCTCCATATTGTAAATTGGATAACATCAGTACATTAAATTTATGTGTGCAAAGAGTTATGTGGTTTATTAACCCACTTTTGCAGGCTTCATAGAAGAAATTTTACACAGCTTTTTTTTTTAATGATAAGCCTATGATCCAGATGAACCACAACCCCCTAATCTGATCTTCAATTATGACATGCTAAGAATATACGTTAAGGAAATTAGGAAAAATCTAATGTAAATAGAGCAGGGGATCTGCTTAAGAAATTCAGCGTATGTTCACTTATTTGTTTTAAAATTGTGAATTGTATAAAGCCAGTGTAAATCACCACTACTTCACTCATACTTTGATTCAACAAACAGCTTTTAAATACTCACTATATGCAAAACAACATGCTAGGCACTGAAGGAGATAAGAGAGAAATGAAGCTTGTTTTCTTATCTTGAGTCCATGGTCCAATAAAGGAGATGAGATATGGACCCCTGCATAAGAACAAGAGTCACTCATGCAGATGAACAGAAAGAACAGAATTTTAAAAAGTAAAATATGGAAAAAAAGACATTTATCAAGATTTACCATTTTTATAGGCCTTCTGTTTCTTTAAATCTATTTGCAGAATCAAAGATACAGTTTTACTCATCTGCATTTCAAATTTATCTTTATTCAAAGATTTACTCTCTTTTCCAAGTCTCTGTGTTCAAATCCTTCTAATTTGTCAGCATTAATTTGTTATTAACTTGATCTTGTATTTCATTCACAATTTCTTAACTGCTAATTGCAAAAATTGATGGAATAAAATAATCCTACTTTCATCAGACGCATAAAACCCAGGAACATCTAACCATATATGCTCAACAGATTAAGTTGATAATCATTAAACTGAAGTAAATAATAAACAAGTTTTTAGTTGCATATGTTCTATTTTGTTGTTGAGCTTCCAATAGTTAATGAAGAGACATATTTTGTGTGGCTCACACTGTCTGGATTTGTACCATATGTTCATCCATGTGATGAAGGCATGCTCTATGTAAGTAACTAATTCTCCCTCAACCCCACTCCATTTGCAGCTAGCTACAAACTGCTGTGCTGTGCAGAAAATGTTCACTCATCTTCAAAGAGGTTAATTCAAACTGGGAAACAGGAGCTGTTGCTAACTAATAGACATTTATGAAGGCTACATTAGGGTGGAAATTTTGATAGCATTTTGTATTACATCCATATTAATAGCAAATTACCTTAGCATGGATAATAGCATTCCACAATGAACACCCAAGGAATTAGGTACTATTAGTTTTGTCCTCAAAAGCACTGTCTGCTTCTAAAGAAGTGAATTCTGAAAAATGGACGCCATGGGACTCATACATCCTTAGATATTCCAGTGCTCCCAACCCACTCTGAGTTCTATCATTACAGCCTCCAGTCTGCTAGGCCATGCAAATCCCTATGCTCCTGGGAGAAGAGTAATAGGAGTCATACATTGTGTAAGTGCTGCTGATTCAACTCCCATTTCCCTCAATACAACTCAAGGAAATGTCCATTCAGTGAAACAATCTTTCAAAAAGAAAAGGAGAAGTGGCTGTTTTTAAACATCATCTTTTTAACAGATGAGATGTCACAGTCTCCTGGCAAGTGAATACTTCAGTGGCATAGTTCTTTGATTTGTAACAGTTATAAAACAGCTATTCCTAGAGCAGATTTAATTACGAGAGTAAGCAGTTTGGAGGGACTAATTCATATTGCAATGCTTTGGTTGGCACAAAAAATAAGGCTGTCATAACTAGCCCTACCTGCTCCCTCCAATTATGTTGTTGCATATTCCACAGCAAGAGTTCCATTAGGTTATTAACTTCAGATAAAGCCAAAAAAAATGATCTGGGTAGACCTTGGCTGACCTGAACAGGTCTGAATTGTGAGTATGATGCACATATCAAAGACAGCTAAAGATGGGAGCTGAATATGTTAAGAAAGTTTGAGTGGCCCTGTCAATATGTCATATATTCCAAGTGTCATGGGAAAACACTGTGAGTATTATCTACAGATTAAAGCTTTTGATTTTAAAAAATTTATGTTGCAATAAACCAGAACAATTCATAACATCCCTTTAATAGCACATTTATCAATGACATTAATGGTAATAATGATGGTAATAGCACAGCAAGGATGTTGGAGAAAAAATTTACCCCAAAGAGCTGGGAATACAAATTTTATCATTTGAGCCATCATAAAATACTTGTGTAGGTATCTTCCTTTCCTAGTAGAGAACACATAATTCTTAAAGAGCAAAGGCAGAAAAATTCTTGTTATCTCTTTATCCCAACATTTTTTTCCCTGTTTTGCTGAAGGATGGAGTGGATTATAATTCCTCTTTTACAGGTAGTCCCTTTGATGTACAAAGAAGTGCTCTACTCACCTCTTATGAGGCCTTTGACTTTAGAAGAAAAAAAGGTGCCTTTATTAAAGTTCAAACTTCACTTTCTGACCATATTGATCTCTCTCTCCTTCTGTCCTCCTAGCTACTGTCTTTCCTTGGCCTAATCCAACTGTAAGCCAGAGGCCAAAGACTTCAAGTAAAACAGTCTTCAGGGACCAGTCCCCTTGAGACCTCTACGGCACAGAACAGGATAGAGAAAGGTGAAGAATGGGCCGGGTGCGGTATCTCATGCCTGTAATCCCAGCACTTTGGGAGGGGGAGGCGGGTGGATCACGAGGTCAGGAGATCGACACCATCCTGGCTAACATGGTGAAACCCCGTTTCTACTAAAAATACAAAAAAATTAGCCGGGCATGGTGGCGGGTGCCTGTAGTCCCAGCTACTGAGGAGGCTGAGGCAGGAGAATGGTGTGAACCTGGGAGGTGGAGGTTGCAGTGAGCCAAGATTGTGCCACTGCACTTCAGCCTAGGCAACAGAGCGAGACTCCGTCTCAAAAAAAAAAAAAAAAAAAAAAGAAAAGAAAAAAGAAAAAAAGAAAAAAAAAGGTGAAGAATGGATGGTGTTGGAGGTGAGAACATTCAGTGACTGTACCACCCAGGAGAAAGTGTGTAAATAGGGAGACACCAACATTAGTTATTTTATTGTTCTTAAAAGTATTTTTGTCATCATCATCATCATACAAAAAGGAAAAGGTCTTGATAACAAGTCATATTTTGTATGCCAACTTTAAATTTTTTTAAAATGTCAGGTCATATCGGCTGTCAGAATGAGTAAGAGTTCTTTATGATTTAGTAAGTTTGGTGTTTTGCTTGACAGGGCTGATACAGACACTTGGAAAGGACATCCAGGATTAATTACATATTATTTATTTATTTAGAGGCAGAGTCTCACCTAGTTGACCAGGCTAGAGTTCAGTGGCACCATTATACCTCACTGTGGCCTCAAACTCCTGGGCTCAAGTGATTCTCCCACCTGCCAAGTAGCTGGGACTACAGTTGTGTACCACAGTAGCCAGCTCCCAGATTCGTTATATTTCTATACCTTTGCATAACTATTTGACCCACACCACTTCTCACTTCTCCACTTCTCCACTTCCTTCATTTGGCCTCATTCATTCACAAATATGCTGCTATTTAGTTGGCCTGGTACCATTCCTAGTTTCCAAACGGGTTCCCAGATAGTAAAGGAGCAAAGCTGTATAATTGGCAGGTGGATTCCATCAGATACTGAGCAGAGAGCCTACTTTTTTAATAAAAGTTGGATCAAGAGTCTTAAATTTGACATTCTTTAGGAGCCACCAATGCATTGGTCTTTCTTAAAACAAGATCTCCCTCCTCCATTTCTCCCATTCTAGATTTTCTTTCTGTGATCTTTTGTCTCTGTTCCCTCCTTCCTTTCCTCTTACAATTTATCAAATCTTGAAATTTCATAACAGATTGGGGTTTGCTTTAAAATCAAGCCCCTTTTCGGTTTTCTCTTGCTCTCTTATCCCAAAAAGAAAAGTTATATCTGTAGAGAAATGCAGTGTATCAGTCCTGATGAAGCAAACAATCTAGCAAAGCATATCTATATTATCCACTGGGATTATAGATTGAGTTTATGTCTCTGGTTGGGTCCACGTGTCCATATATCATTAAAAGAAAAAACTCTTCAGTTATCCTTTAAATGTTTTGCATGCCTAAAATAGACTATTAGGATAAGCTAAACTACTGGAACAAATGATACAAAATGTAAGAAGTCAAGAGCAATGAGATTATTTGTCCTTCACATAAAAATCTAGCAAATTTCCAAGTCAGTGTGGTTCAAGGCAGGGGGCTAGGGATCTGGAAGAGATTGCTTCATGCTGTTAGGAACAGATTTTGGTGGTTCTGCCGTCATCAGCCGTGGGTGTGTAAAGTCTCTGTGACTGCAATCATTACCTCTGTAGCTCATGAGAAAGGGGGAAGGCCACGTAGAAAGATTTTCATGAAAAAGGTTGAAAGTGATATACATCCTTCAGCTCAAATCCTATTGGAAAGAATTCAGTCACATGGTCACCTTTCACACAAAGGATGCTTGGAAATGTTCTACAGGTGGCATATGGCTTCCCAGGTCTCTAGGGAAAAAGAGTCTTTGTGTTTTATACACAAAACTGTTGATTGATTTAATGTTTTAAATTTATTCATTATAGTAAAATCTTGAGACAAATAAGTGTGGAAAAGGCTGCGGAAGTTCTCCCTGTTTCCATTGTTTCTATTTTGCTTTCCATCTCCTTTTCTCTCTGTCTCCCCCACTTCCTTCCTCCTTCTTTGTGTGTAATACACACATAAACACACACATGCACACACACACACTTCTATTCACTCAAGGATAAATTTCTAAGATTATGAGATCAGATTATATTTTGCTTTAATCAGTGGTGTGACGCTTAATGTTTAACATCTAGATCTCACACACACACACATGAGAAAACCCCAGAGTTCACCTTGACTTGTAGCATTTGCCAATTTATGTGGTGTACTCTTCCCACAATGGCCTATTTTAGGTTATCAACATGATGCCACTACACGTGGAGTTGGAAAGGATGCGTAGTAGCACACCATTATATATGTGGTCTATAATATGGGTTCAGTAGATATAAATAGCTTTAAAAGCAGTAAAATAATTGGAACATGAGAAGCTTTGAGTATTTATTACCTTTGCTTTTAATAAAAGTTTATATAATTTAAATTTTAATACTGGCTGTTTTTAACAACCAGCTCACACAATCTTGAAAATTTAATAATCAGCTCTCAGGCACAATTAAGTCCAGCACAACACTGCCTTTACTATATCCTCCTAGTGTTCAACCATATTTTCTCATTCCCACATCTCTTCCTAACTTATATATTTCCCCTGTGTAGCATTCCCTAATCTCTCTGGCCAAGTTGAACAACTCTTATCCCTCAGGCTTTTTTCCTCTAAATTCTGAATTCTCACTATTATTATTTTTAATTAAATTACTCCATGAAAACTACACTAACAAGTTAATTCTCATATTTGTTGGTATACAGAGGATGGGTAACAATAGTGATCTTTCCATCACTGTTAAGAAAGCCACAGTCCAGATTACACATCCTAGGGCTATGATGGAGGTAGGAGCTGGAAAATGTTTCCAGCTCAGAGTAGGCGCTTGCCAACAACAGTAACAACAACAACAAAAAGACAGAGTAAATATAAATCTGCAAACAGAATCTTAATTGAAATATTTTATAGCATTACTATACCAGCAGATTCTTTTCAGACCAACACACATGCACGCACACATACATACACACCTACCCCTGGTGGAACATAATTACCAAACTGCTTGACCAAAGGAAACACACTCCCTAGAAATAAACAAAATTTCTAATGTGGATTTTGCTACTTCAGAACAAAGACCTCCTCATTCTGATATTTGGAAATCCTGCATCATGATAGCAGTCCTTTCACCTACTTGCCCTAAAGCAAGGACTAGCAGTTAACATTTTCTATTCCTAGGAAGGTGGTGTATCAGGAAATGGACCAACCTATATATGATATTTATTATGGCAGATCATATCATTGTTCTTGACTATTCATATTTCTTAGGAGAAACATAAATCCCCTATTGTCATGAGATTTATTGGACTTCCACTGGGAGGAATATACATACACCCCATCCCATTGATATTGGACTTGATCTGTGTGACTAACTTAGACAAATGGGATGTGAGTGGATGTGATTTAAGCATGACTAAGTGTAAGCTTTAGGAGCCAGTAAAGAGTTAAGAGCCAGTCATCTTGCTCTGCCAAAAAAAAAAAAAAAAAAAAAAAAAAAAAAGTCATCTCCCAAATACAGGCTGCTTCTTCAGCCTGACTCTTGGAATAAAGACAACCCACGAAGCAGAGAAGAGCTGAGCTGTAGCTGGTCTGCAGCCACCAACATGTGACAAGAGTGAGAAATAAATTGTGTTTTGGTATGCCTATAAGATTTTTAAATTGATACTGCTGCATAAGTTAGCAAAACTTAGAATAAAACACATTTAAAATGTGTAATCGTTTTTAGATAATTTTTCTAAAATTCATTTTGTACCCGTTTCATTTGAAGTATTACCAGATTCTTGAATCATTACTTTTCCTCCTGTTGCTCTATGAGTTTTACTCTACTTCTTGCTGTATTGGTCCTCTTCCTCCCCCATGGCTTTATCTTTAGAACCAAGAAAAATTTAGCCTCTGAGCATTTTATCAATCTTATCTATATCTATTAATCATATCAGTTGTCTTATATTTCTCCTATTACAGGGCTGTAGGGTTCTATTGGAGCAAGACACAAAACTTTAGGGTGGGAGGATGGGAGAGGGGTGAAGGACGAGAAAGTACATAATGAGTACACTGCACATTATTCAGGTGATGGTTACAAGAAAAGCCAAGACTTCACCACTGTGCAATACATCCATGTCACAAACCTGTACTTGTAACCTTTACATTTATATAAACAAAAAAACTTTAACAATTATATATATGTGTATATATATGTGTGTGTGTGTGTGTGTGTGTGTATATATACATATATACACACACATACATATATATTTTTTTCTTTTTAGATGGAGTCTGGCTCTGTTGCCCAGGCTGAAGTGCAGTGGTGAGATCTCGGCTCACTGTAACCTGCGCCTCCTGAGTTCAAGCGATTCTCCTGCCTCAGCCTCCTGAGTAGCTGGGATTACAGGTGCATACCACCATGCCCAGCTAATTTTTTTATTTTTTAGTAGAGACGGAGTTTCACCATGTTGGCCAGGCATGATGGCTCATGCCTGTAATCCTAGCACTTAGGGAAGCCGAGGTGGGCAGATCTCCTGGGGTCAGGAGTTCAAGACCAGCCTGGCCAAAAATTATAAATTCTTTGTGTTTAGATAAACAATAGTGCTAGATGTTTTTTACATTATCTTACTATGTTTTTATTCTAAAAAACATAGTTCTTTCCAAAATTTACTGTCAACAAGTAACTCTGGGACAAACTTCAAATTATTTAATGGATGTTTTCCCACACATCTGCTTTTCCATGTAGATAATTCAGTTCATTACTTTTTTAGCTAAGCTTCAAATTTTCTATTCATCTCAGAAAAAGTTAATTATTCTACAATTAAATTTCATCCTAGTATTTTATTTTATCTTACTAAATCCTTTATTTTATCTTACATAAAATAAAATAAACCTTAGATTTGAGGTTTCAAGAGGTTCATTAATACATCAGTTTATAAAAACTATTGTTATTGTCCTTTGGGGGGTTCCCTTCCTTGTTGTGTTCTATTTCATCTTTTTTCTTTATATGCTATTCCTTACCCTCCCCACAGCGTTTATTATAATGTGTTTAATATGTGTCTTTTAAAAGTTAAAATCACTGCTCAACAAAATAAAAGAGGACACAAACAAATAGAAGAACATTCCATGCTCATGGAAAGGCAGAATCAATATCGTGAAAATGGCCATACTGCCCAAGGTAATTTATAGATTCAATGACATCCCCATCAAGCTACCAATGACTTTCTTCACAGAATTGGAAAAAACTACTTTAAAGTTCATATGGAACCAAAAAAGAGCCTGCATTACCAAGTCAATCCTAAGCCAAAAGAACAAAACTTGGAGGCATCACGCTACCTGACTTCAAATTATGCTACAAGGCTACAGTAACCAAAACAGCATGGTGCTGGTACCAAAACAGAGATACAGACCAATGGAACAGAACAGAGCCCTCAGAAATAATACTACACATCTACAACCATCTGATCTTTGACAAACCTGACAAAAACAAGAAATGAGGAAAGGATTCCCTATTTAATAAATGGTGCTGGGAAAACTGGCTAGCCATATGGAGAAAGCTGAAACTGGATCCCTTCCATACACCTTATACAAAAATTAATTCAAGATGGATTAAAGACTTACATGTTAGACCTAAAACCATAAAAACCCTAGAAGAAAACCTAGGCAATACCATTCAGGACATAGACATGGGCAAGGACTTCATGTCTAAAACACCAAAAGCAATGGCAACAAAAGCCAAAATTGACAAATGGGATCTCATTAAACTAAAGAGCTTCGGCACAGCAAAAGAAACTACCATCAGAGTGAACAGGCAACCTACAGAATGGGAGAAAATTTTTGCAGTCTACTCATCTGACAAAGGGCTAATATCCAGAATCTGCAAAGAACTCAAACAAATTTACAAGAAAAAAAACAAACAACTCCATCAACAAGTGGGTGAAGGATATGAACAGACACTTCTCAAAAGAAGACATTTATGCAGCCAACAGACACATGAAAAAATGCTCATCATCACTGGCCATCAGAGAAATGCAAATCAAAACCACAATGAGATACCATCTCACACCAGTTAGAATGGCGATCATTAAAAAGTCAGGAAACAACAGGTGCTGGAGAGGATGTGGAGAAATAGGAACACTTTTACACTGTTTGTGGGATGGTAAACTAGTTCAACCATTGTGGAAGACAGTGTGGTGATTCCTCAAGGATCTAGAACTAGAAATACCATTTGACCCAGCAATCTTATTACTGTGTATATACTCAAAGGATTATAAATCATGCTGCTATAAAGACACATGCACACATATGTTTATTGCAGCACTATTCACAATAGCAAAGACTTGGAACCAACTCAAATGTCCATCAATGATAGACTGGATTAAGAAAATGTGGCACCTATATACCATGGAATCCTATGCAGCCATAAAAAAGGATGAGTTCATGTCCTTTGCAGGGACATGGATGAAGCTGGAAACCATCATTCTCAGCAAACTATCACAAGGACAAAAAACCAAACACCACATGTTCTCACTCATAGATGGAAATTGAACAATGAGAACACTTGGACACAGGGTGAGGAACATCACACACCATGGCCTGTTGTGAGGTGGGGAGGGATAGCATTAGGAGATATATCTAATGTAAATGACAAGTTAATGGGTGCAGCACACCAGCATAGCACATGTATACATATGTAACAAACCTGCACATTGTGCACATGTATCCTAGAACTTAAAGTATATAAAAAAAAATAAAAGTTAAAATCATTATTTTTTATTTACATATGTTTTTGATTTACATATAATGTGTTAGGTATCTTATGTTTTAAAGATATATTCATGTTGGCTGATACATCTGATTTACTGTTCATAACTATTACAATGTATTCCATGCCATGTATCCATCTCATTTTACTAGTCTATTTTCTTTATGAATATGCATAAGGTACCACAGTGTCCTACTATCAAAAATAAAAGCAAGAAGCACTAGCTACTTCATTAGCTTTTAAATCTGTGTGAAAGGAGGTGATATATATTCAGCAATGAAAATTTCTGTCATTAGGTGTACTAAGTTCTGCTCAATTAATCTACGGAATTTTTGTATGAATGTATGCTCTTCAATCTACCTATACGCTTGCTAGCACTTAAAATTATATGACTTTCTATTTTGGACTGCTATGTAAGTATAAAATGATGTAAAGTGTTGTTTTATTATATTTTTCTCTTAACTAATTAGGTCAGACATTGTTGATTCCTATTTTAAATTCCTTTTATGATTTCTTGCTTAATCTAAAAGTTATTTAGTCATAGGTTTTTATCATTTCCAGATATACAGTTGTTGTTTTTAATTATTTCCCTCCCTCCAGTTTACATTTTGTTTCTCTACTTTGGGAGAAATGGAAGTTTAATACTTCTACTCTTCTCCATATCTTTTAATGTTTTGTACATTTTCTATCTCTTTATCTCTGTCTTATCCCTTTTATTATTATTTGCTTAAAAGTAGTGTTATGGGCTGAATGTTTTCCCCTCAGAATTCATATGTTGAAGTCTTAGCCTTCAGCGTGTGTGTATTTGGAGATAGGGCATCTAAGGAAGTAATTAAGATTAAATAAGGTGATAAGGGTGGGACCCTGATCCATAGGATTAGAAAAGATCAGAGGGCTTGAACTCTTTTTTTGTGCATGTATAAATACGCCATGTGAGCATAGGGAGCATAAGGCAAGACCACAGTGTCTACAACCCAAGTCAAGAGGCCGCATCAGACACTGACTCTGCTGGCACCTTGAACTTGGACTTCTATCCTCCAAAACTGTGAAAAAAAAATACATTTATCTTGTTTAATTAAGCCACCTAGTCTGTGATATTTTGTTACGTCAGCACAAACAGATTAATACAAGTAAATAATTGTTTATAATCAAGATCTTATTTCGACTGGAAATACTTATGTGAACAAATGGTATAAAATGAAGACTATTTTATCATCTAAGGTACATTCGTTAGGGTGCAAACTTGGCAGCAAGAGGCAGGTGTACATGGTAGATATAAATGATTAACACAATGAATGTGTATCCTTATTTGTTTCAGCAAAAATTGCTACAAACCAAAATGCTTCCTCCCTGACCCTGTCTATCCAAATGTCATCTATAACAAAATATTTTATTTGTAATACTCTTTTTCAAAAAGATTTTTCTAAATCCTCCACAACTTGGTATGTATAATACTTCTCTAATTGGTTGATGTATTATCTTGATTGCAATATTCATAAATCCTTAGATTCATGTCAAATATGTATTTACTTTTCTCAGTAACTGGATCAATTCTTGATATAAAATAGGTATTTGATGTACAATACTATATAACTGTCTGACTACCATTAATCCATACCATAGGCATATCAATATATAAATTGCAATTTACCAGCATATAATAATTTAATTGGAAGTTATATACTTTTATTCTGAGGTGCATAAAGTCAATATTCAGTTTTTTATGTGATTATTTTTATAATAAATATTCTTGACTTAACTAGACTTAATGATCTGGGTCTAGGGCTTTTATTGCAATGATTTCAAAGCAAAATTTTTTGTTCCTGACTTAAAATGGAGATTAGATAGTGTGTTCATTATTATGGGTAAGTGTTATTACTTTTAAACAAAACCTTAGCAGAAACACCAATCTTCTTGAGATTACATAAACCGAGGCAAAGAAATGATCCCAGAAAATTCTTAGGGCCAAATTATTAGGAAGGATTACATATTTTTTTAAATAGATTGGCAAAAGAGCATCAAAGTATCCATTACACTGAACTTGCATGCAAAAACATACATGTAAGTACCTACATGCGTTTTGCTGAAGAGGAGTTTCATGGCTCTGTAAGACTGTTCCAAATGGTTTCTCACTTGATTAAAAGTGAAGAACTCCTATTTCAGGTTTTTCACAGAATTGTTTAGTATCATAGTTTGAGAAGCTAATAAAGAACACAATCTTGAAACTAAGTGTGAAAGAACATTTGATCAAAATGAGGCCCAAATATTAAGTTTATAATTTAAGCTGCACTCAAACTTGGTGTTGTTAGACCACCTCTGGTGAAGTGAAAGCTTAAACAAATAATCTTCCTTCAACTTCACTATAATCCATTAATAAAACTCCTCTAAAAGCTCTATAAAAGCTAGCAACATTATATACATAGAGGAATCCAGCTGGCATCTAACGATGGGCAACAGCTGT
Source organism: Homo sapiens (assembly GCF_000001405.40). Lineage (NCBI taxonomy): Eukaryota > Metazoa > Chordata > Mammalia > Primates > Hominidae > Homo > Homo sapiens. Next base: position 42,060,346 of record NC_000011.10, read on the forward strand.
CATAAAAGGTTATCACAAATAGATAAAGAAAGATACATCAGTAATCACAACCAAAGAAGAAGGAATCTATGCACATGGTAGAAATAAATCCTGTCTTTCTATTCTATAATTGCTGATAGCTAACTTAATTATTCTGGAGAATTCAGAAAGAAAATTTTAAGTATAGGTCTGCTCATTTATAGGAATTACATTTACTCAATTTACAGGAATTAGGAAACCTGTTTAAACATTTCAGAAGTGAGCAAATATTTTTATTTTTATTTGTTAAAATCCAAAATCACCAATAGTTGAATCTCTGTCACTGAGATAGCCATAACTTGTTAGCCAATATTTCCATGCACCGAAGACTCCATAAAATAAGGAGAGTGTCTATACAAATACAGTGTTTCTCTCTAAAAATAAATTTTTCTAGCTCCATTATTAATTCTGATTCATTCTTTGCATATGCTTTGAACAAATTTCTGCGTGAGCAGATGTCTAAATGCAAAGAAGAAGCAGCTCCATATATTAAAAAGTTCAGCCTATAATCAAATTTAGTTTTCAAACTCAAAACTCAAGCTCCCCCTATGTGTATTGCATCAAAGGAAACTGAGCACGGATAAGTGGTTACTCTTTCATTTTTCTGGCCTTCATTGATTAATCATGGTGACTCTCTGTGGTGATTCAGGGGTTGTGTGAAATGCAATTCCAAAGAAGAGACATAAAGATCTGTCAGCTGGAAACACAGTGCATACTCAAGGCAAAAGAAAAAAAAAGGAAGAAAGAAAAAGGAAAAAAAAAAGCAAAGGATTAAACGTACCTTGACTTCAAATATCACTTGAGATTTGCTCCTCAGGGAGAAGCAAAATTTCTTGACATAAAATTTCAAGTGTAAAATGGATACTCTCCTGAAGTTTTTAAACATCTCCAATCAAATACTAATTTTATAGTAGCCTCACTACAAATCCCCTTCCCAAGGGATGTAGGCAGCTTGTCAGAAATCTGAGGAATTGCACTAGTGACTCGATGAAAAACACGGCAATCTTGTATGTTTTCCTTACTTTTCCATTTAGCATATCACATATCCTGAGGTGTTTGTTTTAAACATACTCACCCACATGGATGCACCTAACACAGAAAGATACAACAGCAAGTTACTCATCCAAATTTCGACAGCTAATCAACAGGTTTATTCAAGACAAAGAGGAAAAGTGCAGTGTTATGAGTTGAACTGTGTTCCCCAATATTCATATGTTGAAGTTGTAACCCCTCATGCTGCAGAATCTAACCATATTTAGGGGTGAGATCTTTAAAGATGTGATTAAGTTAGAAATAAGGCTGTTAGGGTGAGCTCAAATCCAATCTGACTGGTGTCCTTATAAGAAAAGGAAATCTGAACACTCTGAGAGACACCAGGGATAGGCACACACACAGGAAAAACCAGGTGAAGACATACTGAGAAGTCAGTTACCTGCAAACCAGGGAGAGAGGCTTCGGGAGAAACCAGACCTGCCAACACCTTGAGCTTGTAGCCTCCAGAGATGTGAGAAAATTAATCTCTGTTGTTTAAGCCACACAGTCCATGGCATTTTGTTATGGCAGCCCGAGCAAACTAATACAGGCAGAAATAAAAGTTAATAAAAAACCGAGCTTTTGTATCCAACATTCAAATTATTCTCTAAGGTACTATGCTGTGCCTAGGTGATATGTAATTACCCGTGAATGTGACACTATTGTGTTGTTCAGTAAAACTTAGTATATTGTTATAAATTTAGGGTGCTAATTAGTTTATCTGCTTATTCAATCACAGTAATTGTACATAAACTCTGCACATTTTTTTCTAAGCCATGTTACCTGCTCTGAAGGAGCTTACAGGGTAATTCTGTGAATAAAACATAACTATTTAATTATTATATTTATTTAAGCTGACAGTATATGAGCAATATAACATGGGTAAGGTAAAAAGGCTATGTGACACCAAGGTAATACACACACACCTCATCGATTTAATAATCAATACTATGTTTAATTGGTTATACCATGACACATGATGAGTTGAACTATTTATATTCATGCTCAGTAATCACAAAAATTCTGGGAGCTAGGCATTAATGTCCCCTATTCTCCAATAATTTAAACTGAAGCTCAGAAATTAAGGAAATTGCTCAAGTCCATATAACTAGTAAGTGGCAAACAGGACGTGAATTTAGGTTAATCTGTCAACAAAGCCTGTGTGTTTAAATGACATGCTATGTAAAGATCTGGTCTCCTAATGTTTTAAATAGGATATATATATATATATATATATATATATATATATATATATCCTATATATATATATATATCCTATATATATATATAATGTATATATACTATATATATATATTATATATATATAATCCTATGGCTATTTAATTATATATATATAATTTATATACATATATAATTTTTCCAGACATTTTTCAGTACTATAATGTGAAAAATGAAAGACATGTATTAACTTTCTTAGTTTGCCACTGTATGTCATATATGTTAATTCCTATATAACTTATTACCATTAAATGATGCTAAGAGCTGAAAAAGATGTTCAAGGAATTCTCATTCAAGTCTCTTATTTTCAGTCGAAGAACTGTTATTTAGGAAAGTTGTAGGACTCATTGAGTTTTAAGAAGCCAGAGAGTATAGGACAGTACACTCCAAGTTTAACCAGTCCATGAAATGTTGCTGGTTTATGATGATATAAGTAGCTTGCCACAGTATATTTAAAAAATAATACTATTAATAGTTGACTGATTCCTTCATTGAGAAAGTTTTGCCATGGAAATTGTCACCAGGACTATAATGATCCTCTCAGAGGCTTTGTTCATTTACATTTAAAGCAAGATTCTCATTCCATTGTGGAAAATTAAGTCTCAAATCAGAAGCCCTTTACAGATCTCACTTGGAGTATCAATGGAAGACAGGACTGGTATCTTTAGTGCCTGGCCTAGATTTTCTTTTTTATGCCATACTAGAAAAAGAGACAGAAAGCCTTGAGTTCAGATTATAGCTCCTTGTCTTATTAGCTATGTAAGCCACGTAAGTTAATTTAATGGTTTAAATAAAACATTTTCCATCTCTGCAGTGAAATAAATAATACCTCCTTTAATATACAAGCTATCAGGTAAATTAGAGATCACTGATATAAATGGGACACATAACAGGTACCCAGGTACCCAATAAATAGTAACTAATATTAATATGTAAAACCTACAGAGGAAAGTTTGTTTAAAGCACCCATATCTCTAAAATAATTTATAATGAAGAGAATTTACTAAGCAACACAAATTTTGTCTAGAAATTATAATGGAATTTCCTAAAATACTTAGTCTTCTAAGAGCAGCACCAGCAGCAGGGCAATGTCAGAAACAATACCAATATGGATAGCTGTTAAAGCTACCAGAACAAAATGCATCCCACTTTTGTAACTCATAAAAGAAGCAACAGTAATGATGGGAATTCTATTCTCAGCCACCACGGAATAAGTTGGACTGGACTTATACTGTAAAAAATTTAAAACAAAGAAATTACAATATATTTTTAAAAAGTTGTTTTCAGACAGTAGATGGCATGTAGTACAAAACTGTGTTTCCTGAGAGTAGGAAAGAAAACAAGATGAGCCTTAAATTTGACACAGATTTTTGCCCGGAAGCAATATCTGGACAGTGATGCAGTGAGAGCCATCCTAACCAGAAAATGGCAGTCTCACTGAGTTGATGAGACAGAATAAGAGTTCAGAGAAAATGAGGTAGCTGGAATTTGCAGAATAGATTTCTAGAAAAGAGGGAGCCATAGGGGAAAACAGCCCCCCTGAGAGGCCCCTTAAGCCTTGGCTGTGAAACTCCATGAGGCTGGGCAAAAAACAACCAAGTACAATAAAACCTTAACAATTCCGGAAACTCACATAGAGCTTGAAAGCATTTGAATTTCACCCTGGTAAAATGGCCAGTCATTATTGAATACTAAGGGCATTCAGGAGAGACCCTAAAGAGGCATTCAAACCAGAGCGACTCCATCTTGAGTGAGGACTAGGAAAATGAAGCTGGGACCTGCTGGGCTGCATTCCCAGAGTTAGATATTCCCAGCTTCTCGATGTTTATGTTTAAGGTAACAGATTGATAATGTTTACTAAACAGACCCGGACTTGGGAGTGTCTTGATATACTGATAACCTGAGAACAAAGACATTCCTAATTTTGCCTTAAAGATAATAATATCGAGTCTTACAAAATATAGCAATTAAGAAAATTAATCATTTATCACAAACCCTTATAGAGGAGTACATCTGTGCATGCTCTTTTTTTTTTTTTATCCTATATATATTTATGAGCATTATACCTAGGGTGGACGCATTCCTCCTCTCATTTACAGGAACGCCCTACTCTATCTATGGAGTAGCTGTTCTTTCCCCACTTTACTTTCTTAATAAACTTGCTTTTGCTTTGCACTGCGGACTCGCCCTGAATTCTTTCTTGTGCGAGATCCAAGAACCCTCTTTTGGGATCTGGATCGGGACCCCTTTCCTGTAACAGAAATGTCATGCCTTTACTACATGCTGTAGCTAAATTATATCCAAAGTAAAGACTTCACTAGAATTTCTTTTAACTTAAAAACAAGCTTGAAAATATTGAGCCAGTATGCAAATGTTTTAACTACCTGATGGAAAAATGCCCCACGTTCTTTAAAACAATACAATTAAATGGAACATCCAACAGTATAATATATATTGCCATGTTCAGCAGTCAGTGAAAATAACCATTTCAAGAAGCAAGCAAATGTGACTCATACCCAGAAGAAAAAGTAGGAAACAAATACAGATCTAGAAAACTTAGAGGTGATAGAACAGGCAGATTTGCATTTTAAAACAGCTAAACATTATGTTCAGTTGTTTAGAAAACAACATAAAGGTAAGAGAAATAAAGGGAAATTCTAGAATAAAAATATGGTATTTTATTAATTGTAATGAGTAAAATTTGATAAATGAATTTAATAAATTCAATAAATTTTATTAATAAATTTATTAAATTTATTTAATAAAAATAATAATTTTAATTTAATAAAAATCTCACTGGATGAAATTGACCTCTAATTAGAGATTGTACAAGAACACATTAGTGAACTTGAAAACATAAAAATAGAAACTGTAAAACTGAAACACAAAGAGAAAAAATAAAGACTGAAACCAACTTTTCAAATTCAAAAAATGCTGGGAAAGGATGTTAGTTTGGCTTGACCTATAAGCCTATTCCTGGAACACTCACAGTGTCTATGGAGATGGGATACTTAATTAGCCTATGATGAGTTTCCTAGTCTATTAATCAGGCTAAGCTAGGCTATGTTGAGGTAACAAATAGCTCCAAACTGTTAGTGGTCTAAAATAATAATGATTCATTTCTTACTCATACCAGAGTAAGACATTGAGGCTGCAGCTCTTCTCTGTGTCGTCTTTAATCTAAGATCCACACTTACTGAATAGACTCAATTTGGACTAATACCAGTATGATAGATAGAGAAAATAAGTATAGCACACCATACGTTGGCTCACTACGTGGGATACACATTACTTCTGCTCACATGGAATTGGCCAAATAAGCCCCATTGATACAGAGGAGGGGAAGGGAAGGGCTGCGAAAGGAAGGGCATGGTCCCTTTAAATGACACAGAAGTGGGGAAGGGCGTGGTCCCTGGCTAGGGCTCCCTTCTGTGCCTCTGCCCACGGACCTAGGTGAGGACAGGCATTTTTATTTTCCTGCCCAAATGTTGCATTTCCCAGGACAATCCTGGCCTGCCACGCCCCTATCCCGTGCCTGTGAAAACCCGAGACCCTAACGGGCACACACACAAATGGCTGGACGTCGAGAGAAACACACTGGTGGAAGAAGACACAAGCAGCTGGACGTTGCGGGGAGCACGCCAGCAGAAGAGCACATGACAGACACCAGCACGCTGGCAGGCCGTTGACTGGTGGAACGACATGGAGTTTGGCTGAGGCAGTCAGAGATGAGTCAGCAGCCAAGCAGCCAGACTCCAGGGGAAAACCATCTCCCTTCTGGCTCCCCCATCTGCTGAGAGCTTCTTCCTCTCAATGAAGCCTAGCAGTCATTCTCCAAGCCCACGCGTGATCTGATTCTTCCGGTACACCAAGGCAAGAACCCCGGCATACAGAAAGCCCTCTGTCCTTGCAATAAGGCAGGGGTTGAGCTAACACAAGCCACTTACGGATGGCTAAATTAAAAGAGCACCCTGTAACACACACCCACTGGGGCTTCAGCTGTAAACATCCACCCCTAGACACTGTCACGGGGTTGGAGCCTCACAGCCTCCCTGTCTGTATGCTCCCCTAGAGGTGTGAGCAGCGGGGCGCTGAAGAAGTGAGCCACACCTCATCGCACAGCCCTGCGAGGAGGACAAGGGAACTTTTCCCGTTTCACCATGACCGTGCTTGATATTATTGAGAAAGAGAAATGTAATCCTTCTACAGGGAAAAGTAGAAAATAGTTTTAAACAGTAATACAGTCTACTAGTGTACCTTTTCAATCATTGATATTCGCCCTTATTTTTCTCCCTCATTCAGAACATGTCTATCACTATTTTGGCTGACAGAGTAGCTTCGATATAGAACATTTCTCATCTCGTAGAAGAAGAATGAGTACCACATATTGATTCTACAAAGCTCTTCCAGGAAATTTCACTCAGATTTTATTGGCCAGAGCAGGTTACAAGAGCATGCCTAACAACAGGTGAATAGAGAAAATTAATCTTCATCCTGGGAGGGATATGAATATTTTTTATCAAAGCTATAGTTTATCGCATTTGGCCTCTCATTTGAGAAGGGAGTAGACATGATGTGTGGCAGCTCCAACAAGACTGCCGTTTGGATAAATATTTGTCTTAGTGATAATATGTTTAAATGAATTCTATGGTAAATTGAATTTGGGAACTGCTGAAGACAGGATCTTTTTGTTGGTAATTTACAATGTACATTAGCATATTAAACAGTGTGAGCAGAGCTGCAATAATAATTTTATTATTATTGGACTTACATAATCTTATTATTATTGGGCTTATATAATCAATTTAACCCCAAATACCCCAAATTGTTGACTTTGAGACCTATTTTCATGCTGAGAAATACTGTGATAGTGATATTAGTTCCAGGAAGTTTTGTGCCAAAATTGACTCATAACATTTACCAGAAATCTCTCTTGAAAAGTCTGCAAATCTTTAAATTTGGAAGTAAAATAGCTCTCACCAAGTTTCTTCCCTTATTCTATTCCCAAGATTTGTCATGCATTTCCTTTGCCACAGTCTAACGCCCCTTCAAATTTATCCAAAATTTCATTTTTCAGAAAACATTCTCTTCTTTTTCTGTTTAAAAAAAACCCATTTTATATTATTTTGTGAGAGTTACTACATTTGGCCCTAGAAGAGAATAAAAAGTCACATTGTTATTTTTTTCTATCTTTTCAAAATTATAATAAACTATCCAAAACATAAAATTTGCTATTTTGACACTTTTTAAATATACAATTTAGATGCACTAATTACATTCACAATGTCATGCAATCATCACCACTATCAATTTCCAAAAGCTTTTATCGCCCCAAACAAAAATTTAATAACTCATTAAGCAATAACTTCCGGTTTTTGTCTTCTCTTAGCCCCTTGTTTAATCTCCTTTCTGCCTCTATGAATTTGCTTATTCTACATATTTTATATAAATGGAATTATACAATATTTGTTCTTTTGTGTCTGACCTATTTCACTTAGCATAATTTTTAAAGATTCATCCAGGTTATAGCATGTATCAGAGCTTCATTCCTCTTTATAGATGAATAATATTCCATTGTATGTATATATCACATTTTCTTTATCCATTAATTTTTTTGATGGACTTTTAAGATTTTTTCAGCTTTTGGCTATTGTAAATAATACCTCAGTAAATATTAGCATACAAATATCTGTTTGAGTCCCTGTTTTTGATTTTTTTATATGTATCTAGGAGCATATGGCTGGGTCATATGGTAATTCTGTGTTTAGCTTTTTGAGGAACTGTCAAACTGTTTCCCATAGTGGTTCGATTATTTGCCACTCCCTCCAGCTACGTACAAGGGTTCCAATTTTTTCACATTCTTAGGTTGCTTATTTTTCCATAGCTATAAGTCTTACCATGAATACTGGATCAAATAACATTCATTACAAATACCACGAATTTCGATCTTGCATGGCAAGATCCAAATTCACATCTTAGAAATGTTAGAATGTTACACCATTACTCACTTATGCATCTTTGTATATTCTCGTACTATTTTCATTAATGATGATGACACTGATAATAAACATCAAGGATCTACTCTAATCAGAAACATTGAAAAAGTAGCTTACCTTGTTGAGAGAGACTGACTCTGACAAAATAATTCCTTAATAAGTTTTTCTCGATCACATCTCATGATTGTATCAAGTAACTGATCATGTTTTGTTTTGTTTTTTTCAAATAGATTTCCTGCCAAGGAAAGAGATATTCACCCATTGTAAACCATTAAATGAATTCTCTACTACGAGTGAGCACCTTGAGAGCTGGACAAGACAAGGTGACTGTTTTTTAGTTCTTGTTCCCCCAGCATATTCAAGGACTACAAATTCAAGAAGAAGGAAAAGAAGTGAGGTCATATCTATTGAGTTCCTAGTATAAGAAGTTTTTCACTTAATATTCACAATGGCACAATAAGCCAGGAAGACAATGTAAAGAAGTAGTTAAGCATCTAGATTATGGGTTCAGATTACTTGGGTTTAACTCCTAATTCCGATCCTGAATAGCTACATCACTTTTAGCAACTTTCTTGCATTCATTCATACACTCTTTCATTCAACAAATATTTACTGAGCATTACATGATGTGTGTCTGTATTGACCTAAACAGACACAATCTGTCTTTTGGAAATTATACATTACTTGGAAATATAACCATTAAAAAGCCATAAACAAAAATAAAGCCTGGGAAGAGGTTAGATAATAATCTGTTTTCTCATCTAAAATGGAAATAATAATAACTACCCCAAAGGTCTGTTGTGACAACTGGAATGATATAATCCATATAAAGTACTTAGCAGAGTGCTTGGCTTTTAGGCAGTGTTATAAAGGGATGAAGAAACTAATGTCCACCTAGGTTAAGTATCCAACCAAGAGTCACTCAGCTAGGAAGTGGCAGAGCTAGAATTGAAATATAATTTGCCTGCCCATACTTAGTTTTTCATCCAAAGAGTCTACATGCTGAGAGATACAAAGAGAGAGGGAGAGAGAGAGAGAGACAGACAGAGAGAGAGAGACCAACACAGATGCATTTCCTGGAAAGTAGTTTTGGTCTATCATTACCAAAGGCACGTTTCCCATAAATCCTGTAACTATCATGAAAAAGGAGTTGAGATGAGTGAGTCACTTCCATATTTGGGGTCATGATGGACATTGTTCCCAAAGAAAGTGTTCAAGATAGGGAATCTGTAAAGTCCCATTTCTTTCTTTCCTTCCCTGGAACAATAATGTCATATGATCTTGGGGCTAAGGTTTTAAGAAAAAGTTATCTATCCGTAAAATTCAAACACCTTCTTAGGCCACTGTAAATTATGGCCAGAATGAGAATTTGGGGGTGCTCACACACTCTTCTGTCACCAACAAGACCAACAGAGCTTTTTTTTTTTTTTCCCCAAGTTCTAAGGAATTGGTTAAAGTTAGAATCCACACCCACTGCTAAAGTTGGCGATGGGTGTGGATATATGCTTGATCCCGTAACTTCCTTGGATTTCTATATAAATTGGGTGATAGCATGTCCCAGTTTGCCTGACAGTTCACATGTATGCTGATTGCATTACCATATTATTAATATTCTTTCCTTTTCTTATAACAACCATCCCTCTTTGTAAAATAAATTACATGTCCACCTTATCTATGTGCATTTAGAGGCATAGAGTGCCTAACAGTTGCTAGTGGTAGAACTTCTGAATGAAGGAAACATTGGGTTGTTTAATCGCAGCCTGGAAGACATTCAAAAATTCATTCTTATAGGGTACTTTTTCCTTTGACATGATGCTGTTCAATTTGAGATTTACATCTGTTGGCTAATAATGAAACTGCTAATAGTACTTGCTCGTTATTTTCTGTGCTCAACTTTACATACCTGCATTTCAAGTGAATAAGTGGATGTCCAAACAAACAGGATAACCCAACTGTCTCTGTGGTGATGTTTCAGGTTATTAGTGAAAGTTTCATATATAAGGTTTTTATCCCTCTCCTTAAATAGAAACAAAAAACAATTAAACTTGTTCAATAGAAGCGATACTGATCTAAGAGAGAGGTGAGGATTATGGTGCTTTCAGACTTAATGTGCCTTTAGTTGCTTTGTTTTCTAACTGAAAATTGGTAAGCAGATTAAAAAGACATAAAAAATAAACACAATCTTGTGGCAGGTGTTCCTTGGCCATACGAAAATGTTTCAGAGGAGGTTCAACTCACATTATCCTCTTCTCTGGTATCCAGTGAAAAAGCAAACCGCCCCCGACTGCCTCCAAAAAGAAAAAACCAACACAAAATCTCTTAAAATATCCCTCTGGCTTTGCATCAAGGGATGGACCATTATCCTGAGTAAAAATATACATTAAGTACTTTCCAAAATCTGATTGTTTTCTTACCCAAAACAGTTTTAGAAATTGGAATGTTGTCACGCCTGTAATCCCAGCACTTTGGGAGGCCGAGGTGGGTGGATCACCATAGATCAGGAGTTCGAGACCAGCCTGGCCAACGTGGTGAAACCCCATCTCTACTAAAAATACAAAAATTAGCTGGGCGAGATGGTGGATGATTGTAATCCCAGCTACTTGGGAGGCTGAGGCAGGAGAATCACTTGAACCCGGAGAAGTGGAGGTTTCAGTGAGCCGAGATCGTGCCACTGTACTTCAACCTGGGTGACAAGAGCAATACTTCGTCTCAAATTAAAAAAAAGAAAAGAAAAGAAAAAAAAAGAAATTGGAACTTTGAGCTGTGAGCAAAAATTAAAGCCTAAACTTCTTAATTTGGCATTCAGAGTTCATCACCTGGCTCCCATCTACATTGTCCTCCCCCTAACTTTTTCTTTGCTACAAACAAATTGAACTACCTGAATACCAGAAAACCTACTCCTTCCTGTCTTCACAGATTTGTTCACACTGTTCCTTCCATCTAAGGTGGTTTTTCCTTCCGTTGCAACAAGTCTGAAATCCATTTCAAAGTCTAGTTCAGCTGTCAAAAATTTCTAATAAATACAATTTCTTTCACCCTTGAATATCTATAGAATAGTACCTCTTATGTTATAGGCATTTATGCATTCATCTGATTTTCTGTAAAACATTGTAGGTTCCTAGGAGGCAGGTTTTATATGATCTTTTATACCTTATTAAATACCATCATGGGGTTCATCATAAATTTGTTACCCAATACCAGTTTGTTAAATAATAAATCAATATATAAAGGAAGCAAAAGAAATGAGGGAAAGGAGAATGGGAGAAAAATAAATTGTAAGCACAATCTTTCCAGGATATTAGAGTGTCTCTCATTGTTGTATATTGTGAGGCCCAAAGTATATGACACACCTCACCCCAAATGATGATAAAGACATACACTCTTGGGTTTTATATTAACTATGTAAAGTACTTGAAATACTGGCACACAGTAAGTGCTTTTTATGATTGTTATTTTTACATAATTTGCCAACATCTCAACTCAAGCCTACAGAAGATATAGTGGCTTAGTGTAATGGAATGGGGACACAATTTGACTCAAAGCATTCAAACTTTAGCTCACTCATGTACAAAAAGTGTCCACTGGTTAAGGGTGTTTAATCTCCCTGATCCAAAATTTTTCTTAAGTATAAAATAAGGATTATAATAGAACTAATGTCATAAGGTTGTGCTAAGCATTAAATGAAATAGTGTCTGGAACTTAGTAGTCATTTAATGAATGGCAGCCACAGTAGTAGTCAGAGACTCAATTTCTTAATCAATTTATTGTTTGTAATTTGTTTCATAAGCAGTACTCTAGAGTTATTAAGCTGTTAATTGTAATCTTTTTAATGGTTCGTAATTTTAGTATATACTGCTCATACATTAGCTAGATGCACTCACCTCCTTTTATACATTTCTGGGAAATTATCATGCACATCTTTTGTTTTTTTCTCTAACTGTCTACACCTGTGTCTCTCTTACAAGGACTTACAAAGACTTCTCTTAAATTACTGAGGCAGCTTTCTGATTTGCTTTTGCATGCAGTGAGTTGGCAGTGCCTGTACCCTTGTCTCAAGTAAGGATAAAGTTTAGAGTACAATTACAACATGGATGTTCATATGAGATTCAGCTATCTCTGAGATTTTGCCTTAAATTGCCCCTTTAAAATTGCAATTGGCTTTTTCCTTTCCTCTGCCCAGATTTTCCTCAGAGCATTTCCATAATGAATTTTTTGCACTTGAATCCTTGTCTTAGGGTTGGCTTCTGGGGAAACCAATCTAAGAAAATGACATATTACAAAGGAAAGTAGAATTGAAAACTTTGGCATGAAACATCAATCTTTATTGAGTTGAAGACACTTTTACTGCAGCAGTATAACCATCCCTCCCATCCCCAAATTGATTTATTTTTACCTTGCCAGACTTCTATAGTACTTACTGTCTATGCCGTATTTGGCATTTAACTTGACCTACTAGTTTTCTAGTACTGTGTAACAAATTACCACAAATTTAGAGGCTTAAAATAATATACACTTATTATTTCACAGTTTGTATGGGCTAGGAGTCTAGGCATAGCTGTCCTGGATCCTCTACTCATGGTCTCACTGGGCTGAAGTCAAAGTGTCAGTCAAGACTCTAATCTCATTGGAAGCTCAGGGTCCACTTCCAAGCTGTGTGGTTGTTGTCAGAATTTAGTTTCTTGCTGTTATCAGAGTAAGTCACACCCTTTCTTGTTGACTATTGGTGAGAGACTGCCCTCAGCAACTAGAGGCCATCCTTGGTTCTTTGCAATGGGACCCCATCCATACTTAGTTCACAATAGAGCTGTTTTCTTCTTCGGTGCAAGCAGCAGTAATCTCCCACTTTGAATCCATCTGATTTCTTTTAAGCATTCATCTAATTAGATCAGGCCAACCCAAGATAATCTCTATTTTATTAACTCAAAGTCAACTGATTAGGGACATTAATTAAATCTGATATTTCCATTCTGCTAAATAACGTTACGTGATCACAGACATAATGACCCATTATATTTATAAATTTCATTCACACTTCAGGGAAGAGGATTATATTGGGGATATTTAAGCAGAGGGGCAGAATTTTGGAGACCATCTTAGAATTTTGCTTACTAAATTTGTCTTCTATGCTTACTTACTGTATATAGAGCCCTTTGCTGGGGGGTTGATGCTCCAAAATCTAAAATTAATGAGTATTTTAGGAAGTGATTTTGATAGTGATGGTGTTATTATAATTTTTTTTCTAAAAGGGAGATAATAGGACTGTATCATATGGTTTCCACAATCCAGATGTCAAATCAGAAAACATTCTCCCCACCAAAAAAATTAAAACAAATACAGAGGTAAATGTAGGTATAATTTATGTAGCAATAATTTGATTTCTATGATTCTTTTTTTTCCTGATGTGGAAAATGGGTATAAGATTCCCCCTCTCATTGGGTTGCTAAAAGGATTAAAGAAAATTATTAGAGAAATACCTGACAGATAATAGGTGCCTAACAATTGGAAGGTACTTTATCTTATTCCCCACACAGAATGACTTAACTAAATTTTGTAGAAAGAAAAGCTATTTTTAAGAACGTGTGGAACATGTTCTTTTGAAAAGCAACAGATGCTTTGGGAAGTAATTAACTAGTGCACATAGAAGAGGACATTTATCAGTCACAGAAAGCATTTTACATAAAAAGGCAGTTTAAAAGAGGTAAAGAGAATGAGAAAAAAATGGCCATTGCAAGCTGATTTCTTCCCCCAGGAGAGAGTTTAGGGAGGGAATTGTGGTATGGGAAGTTATCAATTAAGTTCCATATTTTGCAAGTGGTAAGATATTAAAAGTCCAGAGGTCTGGAAACTTGATGGAATTTATGGGCCCTATCCCATAAATTACCCACAAATTACATGTTTCCTAGAATATGTCTTATCTTGGTGTCTGGGGACTTCAGGGCTTCAGCACAGGTGCATAGTAAGACTTTGAAAAACATTACTCAATGAAGTATTTAGAATGCTTGTCAATACATTACTTCTATATGCAAACAGTCAAAAAAGTATATAATTGTGATAGAGTTGTTTTTGTCTTGGTTTTTAAGTAACATTTATTGACAGCTTACTGTGGACCAGGTGTTGTGCCAAGCATTTTGTATCTATGACCTAATGCAATCCATGGTGAATGTGTATCACAATTATTTCTCTTTTACAAACAAGGAAACTGAGACTCAAAGAAATTAACTTGCCCATAAAAGCTAGCACAAAAAATAGGCACAAATCAGGTCTGGAATCCTGTTTTGTATAAGTCCTAAGCTGTGCCCTTAAGCTCTCTGCCACCATGTAATTAAAATAATATGCCCTTAGCATTCTTTTGTATGAATCTTGGTTGTCAATTAGGAATCACCCTGCTAAGATCTCTTCAGGGGACCTTTTCCACAGGGTTTCCTGCTTTGAATTCACTGATGTATTTCTATTTTGTGTCCCTTGTGGGCTGGTTGGCAAATGAAAGTCAAGAGCAAACTGAATGAAATTCTAGCAGGAAGGAACCTCCAGTGAATGCTTCATTTACAAGGATGGAGGCATGCTTATTGGTTTCACCCATGCTCTCTAAAGCATTCACACTTGCTAGTGTGTTAACAGCAAAGTCCATCACAAATGACTATTTCCACTTTCAAATCATCTCTTATTATCTCTGCTCAGTGACTGTGAGCAGGTTTAATCTATTCCTCTCCATTCAAACCATTTTATTCTAACTACCAAATAACATTTCCCATTTTCCATATTCAGGGAAAGGCTGACTCATTTAAATAGAGTTTTGCATGACTTACTTAAAGCTGACAGTTTGCATGTGTGGAATTTAAACTCTCTAGAAATCTGGCGAATTCCCTTAGATTTTATTAGTTTGTAATTTTTTGAAAAATGCAGTAACATCCTAGCTTGAAAAGATATTGGTGATACAAAAGAGCTCTCTTAATATCAAAACAAATCTCCTGAGTCGGGGTCAGTACTGTATCTAAATGGTAATTCTCCTGAATCCAGGTGTAGAATTGTGGATTCTATACTCCTTTCTTGTTCCAAATCACTTTTACATAACTTTGAACTAATTTTCCCTCAGGACTTTAGGAATCTTCTATAACATAGGGGCCATATTTATATGAAAGCTAACAGATGTGATTGGGAAGAGTTTACATATGTGGGTATACATATGTGAGTATTGTCACAGAAAATAGTTTAATGTGCTACTAAAATTGTAAACTAAACTATATTTTTACGAAGAAGTTTCTTGACAACACTTTACTCTGCCCTATTTGGGTAGATAAAACACAAACGTTTTACACAGTCTCTAAGAGAAAACAAATAGAAAGTTAATCAGAAATAGTTGCCCATGTAGAATGGCCACACTATCTTACACATGAAAGGCATACACTGGTTATCAAATGTAAATGGGGATCCAAGTCATAAAATCAGAGAAATTCTAAGTTTTACTTTTTCTATTTGGTGACTATTGGAAAGGTTACCTAACGAAGATAATGCTTTAAGTTTACTTACCTGTAATGTGGAGATAATGACAATATTTCACAGACTTATAAAGATTAAATAAGATAGAAACGTAGCCTCTCAAAATATAACTGTACTATGTTCTTCCGTTTCCTTCCTAAGTATGCTCCAATTTCATTAACAACTTGCTTACAACCAAATCTCGAATCTAAAACTGGAATAAGCCCTTGAATGTACTTAGCTGTTTCAAAATATTAACTATGAATTGAACCATGAGCAAAATCAATTTAAATTGTAACTTCTTTTTGTGTTCATAATTAATTGAACTAGGTCAGAACCAAAGCATCAAAATACTATCCTAATAGAACCTTAATCAAATTATATTTGATCAGTTTAGTTTCATTACCAGCTCACTGTTCCATCTTGTAGATGGAACACTCTTTAATATCTAAGATATCTCTTATTTCACTTCTTGTACACTCTTTAATATCTTAAATATATCTTATTTCACTCCTTGTCACCCAGCCTGAATAAATAGCTCATACGATTAATTTTTTTTTTTTTTTTTTTGAGGCAGTCTCGCTCTGTCGCCCAGGCTGGAGTGCAGTGGCGCGATCTCGGCTCACTGCAAGCTCCGCCTCCCCTGTTCACGCCATTCTCCTGCCTCAGCCTCCTGAGATTAATTTGCTTTAAAAATAAATAAGGCCATTTAACCCCTGCCACAGTTTTTTTCATCTCTATATGGTAGTAACAAAGAATATTCTACCTTTCTAACCAGATATTTGAAATACTAAGTCAGATAATCGACATACAATTGCACTGATAAAATACTATAAGTTCAAAAATTATTGTTTAACATAGAGATATCCAATATATTATGCTAAATTTTTAATGTTAGTAAAATTTAAACACTGCTGCCATTGAAATCCACCAATTTATGATTATTACCCCAAATATAATCATGCCTTTCCTAATTATGTTCTAAAAGAATGGTTGTAAAACATCGATAGGGATCGTGTGTACTCTGGATATAAAACAAAGTCACATAATCAAGACCTCAAAGTGTCTCTCACCAGTCTTCACAATGCAAATTATGAAGTAGAATAAAGCAAAAAAGTAGCTTAGATTGACAAAATGTCTTCAACTTTCTTCACTCTCAAAGTACCCTCCTATTCTGGGTTTTACTAAACTTAAGTCTGTCTACATACTTGAGACCAGATCATCATTTTGTTTTACAGTGAGACTGTCCTTGTACCAGCCTAAGAGATATTGCTGATTTGATAACCCTACCAAATGCGTGCTGTAGTAATATGTGAATATTTTAAGAAGGTAGTATACTGAGGTAGTGAAGAATTTGGTCTCAAGAGATAAACTGCCTGGATTCCCCAAAGCCCTGGCTTTGAATCTCTGAACAGATCATTTGACCTCTCCTTAACTGCTTTTCCTGATTTAAAAAATAGAAATAATTATAACAATCTAATTTGTAGGATTTTAGGAGGGCTAAATCGGATAATAAAGTATACTTAAAACTACTTCTTAAGTAACTATCCAAATTTACTGAAGCTGAGAATTAGCATTGTTTGTTAGATTATCTCATAGAAAGATAAATGTAAGAGTGATTTTTCACAATGCGTGCAGCTCATTCACCTGAGAAACAACCAGGTGATTATTCTAGCTGAAGTGAAGGTGTTTTTGGTCATATTTATAGACTTTCTCATATAGACATTGGGAAGCAATAGTGACCAAAACATGACTTTCATTTAATGAGATACAAAGGTAATTGTTTTAAATTTTTACAGAAAATTAACAAGTACTATCTTCCTTCTACATATGAGATGACACTTCTCATTCCCCTTGTGATTTGGTGGGGTCATGTGACTATAGCTAGTCAATGGAGTCTGAGAGTTACTGTCACGTGTCACTTTCATGTTGAGGCAGTGAAAAAGTTTGTGCAACATTCCAACAGTCTCTTCCTCTTCTGAAGTTGAGTGTGAAGGCAAAAATGGAGAGCCATGATCTAGCAGCCTGGATGTATTGCATCTGTGCATCTGTGCTAGCAAGTTGTCAGCAGAATTTGTGTGAGTGAGAAACAAACTTTGTGTTATGTCCCAAGAATTTTAGGATTATTTGTTGCCTCAGCATAAACTTAGTCCATCTTACAAATACATGTTTTGTTAAAAAAGTCATTTTTGTATTTACAGATATTCTGTTTTCTTATAAATCTGCTCCTAGTAAGTGACCCATACTCTTGACCTATTTGTTTTAAGACTAGTAGAAAATAGTCACAATTGATAAACACAACCATTTTCCCATTGAGAATGAAAAAACTAAACATGATGATCTCATGAAGAGTCAGCTTCCACATTTGACATTGAATATTATAAGTGTAATTTTTCATGCTCACTACAAATACAGTCACTATCACAAAAAAGTACAAGGTATAAATATAGTAGAAAAATAAAAATATTTACTACTATGATTATGCCCAACCTCTGTCAAAAACTCTGAAGGGTCTGAGATTTTATCTTATTTGCAAACTAAAAACTTAATAGACACAGTTTTATGGCAGATGGCAGAATACATAAGACTCCTGGGTCAGAGAGAAACAGCTTTGTTACTTATTGCAATAGTAGTATGTAGAGTATCAGCATTTGTGTTGGTTCTCAGAGCCTCAAATTCCATGGAATGTTACAAACAAAAAGACTACCTGCTATGTAGAAATGTGATATGTGTTTATAGGAAAAGGACCCAAGCTTAGAGAACTCAAATCCTTGATGATAGACAGTGAAACTGCCTGGTCATTGCCTAGCATGGAATGTCATCTTTACTATGCTGTACATTAAACAAACCTACACTTTTCTCTGGAGGGAGATATTATTGCTATCTTCCAAAGCTATTTGCTGTACAAACATCCTTGAAAAGATAAGACAGAACAAAATGAGGCAGTGTCTTTGCTTGTAAGACATACAGAAATGTGAGGAACTTGGGAAAAATTGTCAAAACATATACTCCTCATTCCTACATTGTCTTTGCTTCTAACAAATTTTTCTATGAGTATGATACTTCCTTGACCACTCTAATGAATCTGAGCAATATAGGGTGAAAATAAATCATTTTGTTTTGTCTCCTGTAGTATTGAAAGGCTTATATTGACAGTGATTCACATAGCAGAATGAAGTCAACCTACAGTGCTGACCTCAACAGTGCTTCCTATGGTCCTGAAATCAACAAGTTGAATGAGTTGAAATTATTAGGGTATAACTTAGAAATCCATGTAGATTTCTGCTAAAGCGTCTACATCGACATTTTCATTTGGCCTATGGCATTAATCCAGGTACAGAAGGACATCTTAGTTATTGCACAAAGCTGGTTTGCAGGAAGAAAGTCTAGGGTAATTTAATCATCCATAACAACCCTGGACAGTGAACCTGACCTGCATGTATTTCAGGGCCAAGGTGTTGTCATTGGTTGCTTCATCAAGAGTCAGAAACAAATTTTGATCAGTTTTTCTAATTGAATGACCTCTATTAGGACACTAAATGATATCCATTGGAATAACTATTTGAAAAGCACACAAAAATAATACATTAGTTTTCCCTCCAAGAAGTAATCTGAGTAACCAATGGTAACCTTACTTTAGAGCAATCTCTGTAGTCACCTGAGGGCTACATGGCCTATTGGTACTATTTTCTTAAATACTGGAAGGTCTCTATAGCTACTTCTAAAGTGAAGTCACCATGTTCTTAGGAGGAATGCATGCTCTTATCCAAATTCCACTCACAAATTGCAGTCTCAAGGGTACACATGGTACCTCTGGAAAAAAAGTGATTTATTTTTTACCCTACATGTGGAATCTGCACGAATCGGAGGATACAGATTGATGGTACCTTCGTCATAGACTCAGATGACTGGTGGCCATCGGGTACCTAGTTCAGTTTGAATAATTGAATCTAATCTTTCTTTCTGAAGAGATTGCTTGAGGAAAATCAGTTTAACTGGTTCTGTTTGTTTATACCAACAGAACAAACAGTTTGAGTGACATGCACCTGCCCCACAGAAAGACGGAGTGTCAAGTACGTGAATGAGGATGCGGAAGACATCTGGATCTTTTGATAGATATTTTGCATTAGGGAGATCAAGAGTTGGGACTATCTCTTATTTTCAATGGACTTTTCCTAAGGTTAAAGGAAACATGTTCAAATCATGATCAGCCTAAATAATTCTATGCATTATTCTTCTAAGTCTTATAATTTTTTTATAAATAGTGTCCATTTCTGTCTTGTTTTATGTGATTATTAAAGACATTCTTCCCTTAATTTGTAGCCTTATAAGTTAAAAGTTCATATTGAATCATTTGAGAATAGATAACTATACTCAAAGTTGCTAAATCATAGACTATTTGATAAGACTACCTAACAGCCTTTAGGGTATTTTGCTGCTGTTAATACTGCTGATAATGATGAAAAATAATGATTAAAATTTATTGAACATTTTTCTATGCTGAAATTTTGTGAGATATTTTTGTAGTTTCAACAACTCTTATTGTATGCACTTTGCCCCATTCCATATTTACTTCCAGAGGATAGGCTAAAATTAAAAACAAAGGGATGTATTGAGACTAGTTTTGACATGATGAGAGTTTTTTTTTTTTGAGATGGAGTCTCACTCTGTCACCTAGGCTGGAGTGCGGTGGTGTGATCTTGGCTCACTGCAACCTCCGCCTGACAGATTCAAACAATTCTCCTGCCTCAGCCTCCCGAGTATGTGGGACTACAGGCGTGCACCACCATGCCCGGCTAATTTTTTGTATTTTTAGTAGAGATTGGGTTTCACCATGCTGGTCAGGCTGGTCTCAAACTCCTGACCTCATGATCTCCCCTCCTCAGCCTCCCAAAGTGCTGGGATTACAGGCATGAGCCACTGAGCCCAGCCTACATGATGAGAGATTTTATCTCTTAGAATTTGTATTTTTCCTGGCCACCCTGGGAGCTCAGGCCTTACATGTTGCCAGAATCTCTATGTTAAATGAGATTTAAGCCTATCTCTCAATTAAAAGTTGGCTTTGTCTGGAAGGTCCAAGGAGAAAGGGCTAATCATAAATTTTTTAATTTAAGCCTTAGGTCAGATGCATTGTATTAATGTTTTGGGCTGCACATGATTTAGCTACATTTAGAAAATGAAGAGTTCTTTATAGATTGTAGAAACCATGCTAGGTTTTGTATTAGGCTGTTCTTGTATTGCTATAAAGAAATACCTGAGACTGGGTAATTTCAAAAGAGAAGACATTTAATTGACTTATGATTCTGTGGGCTTTACAGGAAGACTAGTGCCTGCATTTGCTCAGCTTCTGCAGAAGACTCAAGAAGCTTACAATTATGGCAGAAGGTGAAGGTCGAACAGCCATATCACATGGACAGAGAAGGAGTAACAGGAGACAGAGGTGTGCCACACACTTGTAAACAGCTAGATCTTGCAAGCACTATCACAAGGACAGCACCAAGCACTCATGAGAAATCCACCCCCACATGATCCAATCACCTCCCAGCAGTTTCCACCTCCAATACTGGGAATGACCACTCAACATAGGATTTGGGCAAATATACAAATTGCATCAATATTTCTCACTGTACAGCAATCCTTTTGCCTTGGTTTTCTATATCAAACCCATCAACATTTAATGATTTATGAATAAAGCACTGATAGCTACTGGGAACATCTAGAACTCATGTGCTCTATCTCTATTCCATGGAATATCACCCTCTGCTATACTGGCTTAAATAAATATTTCACATTAGCAGACATAAATTCAGTTTGTCAGATCATGTTCAGCCCAGACATCATTTCCCTTTCTTTTATTTCCTAAATCGTTAAGGTCTAAAGTCAAAGCTGTTATATGTTCCCAAAGTAGTATAAAATATGTATGAAGCATTTAAGACATTCCAAACGTTTCTCTTTATGGTTTGGGACCAATGTATCCATTAATTTGCTCTTTGGTCTGAGCTTTTGCCATAAAAGTCTTAGGCCAGGTAAACATCAATGTTTTCCATTTTTCTTCAATTTATTTATTTTTATTATTTTTTTTTTTAGCAAACAGTGACTGCTGGAAGCCCCTAGAAATGAATGCCAACCTAGTTTACAAAAGACAGTGATGATGTCAGTCAATATGCAGAATTGTTCAACTTCCTTTATCTTTGCAGAGCCACCTAGTGTAACTGAAATGGTTAACCTGAATAGGCCTTTAATTGGATTGAGCTATTGTGGATCCTAGAGCTAGCAATGCAGACTGAAAATAGTGTGTTCTTTGTCTTCACCAAGATAAAGTGTGCTTCAAAGGCAAAAATGAAGTTGCTTGAAGTCAGTTATTAGCTCAGCCAGATTCATTTTCAATAGCATGTCTCAGTGTGTTGCTTGTCTTCTCAAAGGTGGTCCTTTCTGGCCATTAAGAAAAAGCAGTGAAGCAACCCTCCTGTCTTCCACACAGGTTAATTGTTAAATGTAACCAAGGAGACTGTAAAAGGCTTCTAAATGGGAGAAAAAAACTCAGCCTGAATGCCTCGGATTAATCCTTGATGTCCCAGTTTTCTCACCTATAAATTGGAGAACCTAATTTCTGTTGGAACCACTGCATTGTGGTTGCTGTGAGAATTAAATGGTATAATGTCTGTGAGAGTGCTTTGCAAAGTGGAACTCCCTCTATAAATGTATGGATTATTATACTGTTTACCCTCCATAAATGTATGGATTATTATACTGTTCACTGTCATTTTTTAAAACAAATCTTCCAAATATCTTCACACCTCGAAGAAAGATTTGAAAGAGTTCCCATTCTTTTAAAATCCTCTTAGATCATTTTCCCCTTTAATTTCACTTTTGATATGAACTTACTCAATTCCGGTCCTGATAGCCATTCAAGCAGTAATCTTAGCATAGCCATCAGCAAAACTTCATAGACAACCTTGTGTAAAATTCTGTAACCTTGAAATTTTATTCCCATCTTATCTTGATAGAGACATGAATATATAAAAATTTTATCTGAAACTTAAAAATTAGTATGAAATTCCTCATTGTATCACTGTTACAGATTTTTTTGTCTGTGGAAAAAATAGGTAATTACTCTGTCCAGTTAAAATACACTTTGGCAGGTGATGAATGTTGACAGTATGCTGACTGGAGCTGAACCATAGATTATTACTGATATGTGTATGTATATTCATATCTGTGCATATGTGCATGCTCACACATGTGTATGTATGTGTGTGTGAGAGAGAAAAAAGGAAGTAAGAAATAAACATCTTGGATAAGTTAATATAGCGCATAAATTGATTTTTCAGGTACTGAGTACCTGAAATGCACTAGGCATAGAAAATATAAGAGTAAGAAATTTTCCTGGCTCTTAAGCAGCTTTTAACCTAGGGGTCAAATCAGAGAATTCCTTTGACATTTCCAGTTTCATTAAATGAGATGTTTAGATCATGTGATAAAGTTACTCAAAAAGCTAAAATGGTGAGATTCTACTTAATTTTTACATTTAAATCTTATTTAAGAGAAGAAATCTGTTATCTTAAAGACTGGATTCAGCAGACTTGACCCTCAAAGAGGGGATATTTTCATGAAGAAAAAGGGGCACTGCCCTTTTTCTTGAAAGGATCAGATTAACCAAAGGAAAATTTCAGTTCTTTGGGGCTAGAATGTGTCTTTTCCATCATTAGAAATCAGTGAGTAAATACTTTAGTGGGAAAAGAATAATAGATATAATTTTCATCCGTTTTTCCTTTAGTTATTTGTCCACCATTTATTCACAGTCCTAAATCATAGCTAGATCCAGGTGGACAACCCAGGACCCTGCCCCAGTGTGGGCCAGCCATTTGGCAGAAGTCGGTGGACAAGTTTTGGAGAGTTAATCCTTGATATATACTTAATCTTAGTTAATCTAAGACGCTTGAAGAGTATCTTGCTGATGAGGTCACTTGTTCTTTTTCTTTGCAGAATAATTAGTGTCACTTTATTCCACACCTAGGATAGTTCATCCTTTCACCTCTTAAATAAAATGTATGAGAGGCCTTCATTTTGGACTGAGGTCCTGCACTAGGCTATAAAAGACCAGATCAAAAAAGAATAGAGTAACTCCAGAATGGAGTCACTGATGCCATGTGCCAGATAATCAAAGGGAACTTAGAAAGGGGCCAGTTTAAAAACAAAAAACAGAAAACAAAAAACAAAAACAAAATAAAACAAAACAAAAAAAAACAAACAGAAGATTCACTGCAATCAATTTAAAGGGGCACAGTTAACCTGAGCCAGCATGATAAAGAAGTCGTCGCTTTCACCCTATAAGAAAAGTGACTTTCAACAATCAATCTGTTTTCTTTTCTTTATTTCTGCTTTCTTCAGCCTTTTCTGCCTGTAAAGCTCACTTCTTCTGCTCAGTTTAGTTGAGTGCCTTTCTGTAATATTTTGTAGAATGAATGCTACTGGACTTACGAATTGCTAATAAAAGCCATTTAGATCTTTAAAATTCAACTCGTTAAAATTTTGTTCCTTGACACACTCAAGGAACACACACTGCCCTTCTTCTTATGTTTTTTATCTTGGATAACTTAATCTTTATTCCAGCACTATCATTTCATGAGCAACTTTTGATTTTCCTTCTTTTCACCCTGAAATGTTTACCAAACTCTGAAATGTAATTGTTTAATTATTGCCAAATTTGACTTAATTTTCACAACATATTACATCCGAGGTTTGTCGTCTTCTACCCTCCTCACCAAGACTACTTATTTTTAAAATATATAACCCATGTATAATGAGACTGACTGGTGAAAGTGAAGATATTGATCTCAAAGCCCTGCCACTCATTCCTTTGTATCCTGTAGGTTATAGTTGGAAAACTAGCAAACCAGACGTTTTAATATCCTCCTGCTTCCATCTGATTGGCCTTTCCTCTGGATCAAGCATTCTGGATGGTTTATCAGAATTCAGAGTAAAGTATTTTATCATATCATTCTACACTTTTAAATACATTTAACATTAAACCTCAAATCTCCCCAAATCTGATGCTTCAGTCACAAGATGACTCACTCTTCTTAAAACATGTCCTATATGCTCTAACTACCAAATCATGCTGGAGGGCAAAGGCAGTGTCGCCTTCAGAATTTTTATCCTTCATAGCACCTAAAGTTCTGCATCTACTCACTTCTTACTAAATAAATGTTGCACTATCGTTTGTCATCATAATGGTCTGTATCACTAATCTATGCATTTTATTATTAAATGCATACTTACTGAATGGTCACTGTATGACAGGATTATTTCTATGTACCATAAAGAGCTTGTTCTCTAGAAATGTAAATTATCTGTTACAAGTTAGATTTTGTAAGAGAATGTGGTATGTGAAATAATGCTGTCTTTATTGGTGCAATTCTATAACCTCCATGGAAACAATATCCCATATTGTCCTAATGATATCTCTGGTGATGTGTTAAGTTTTACTTTTGCCTTCTTAAAAAGGGCAGAACTTTTTTTCAAAAAATAGTTAAATTAGTAGCTACAATTTTGGAGCACCTCTTGTGTATTAGAAACAATATACTACATACCTTATAGAGTCGTATCTTTATTCTCATTTTATGAAGGTGCAATGTAAAGGTTCAATAACTCAACATTTTGAATCCAAGGTTTGAACCTTATTCTTATTGCTCCATTCTTCTGGTGTTTCCCCACTCTACAAGCTTCCTTTTAATAGTTGTACTCTGAAGCAGCCCCTGGCGAGTACTAATTCCAGGAGAACACTTTGTTCCCCTTCCACCTCCCTTCATGTTCCCCTTCGCGGGACACCACAAGAGACCTTGAAGGTTGGGACATTGTGGGGGTTCCTCTTTTAAAATGAGAAGCTTGCTGCGAAATCTAGCATAGCAGCTGAAAGATACTAGTAAATGTTTTCCAAACAAAAATCCCTCAGTGAATCAAAGAAAAAAAGGTATAATTTTCTGTTGGTAAATGCAACATGCACAAGTTATTTGAAACAGCTGGTTCGAGTGGAAATGAATGACTTCCCCAGGGTCAAAATCTGACAGTAAGTGCTTGCTGCTTACATGTGTGGAAGAGGGAACGGGGACAGATTTTGTAACAGAGCAGAACAATTTCTCCGCCTCATCAGTTCATGAATATTTGAATGGAGAGGGTATGATTGGCAGAGCTTCTCATGGCTTTGCTTTTTATTTTTCCTCCAGCATTCTTCTTATCTAGTGAGTATCCATCATATACCTACTACAACGTAGGGATGATGCTAGGCACTGTGGCCACGGAGCTCAATGTGACACATTTCCTTGCTTCTTTGTATTATTCTTAAAATTATGGTACAACTGTATTAGGCAAAGGAGGGCAGGTGTCATTGTTTATACAGTGAGAGAGTGAAGAAATAAGGACATCTCAGCTTTCCCACTCTCTATGACTGTACTCTGTGCTACTTGAATAGAGGGATGACAGCTTTTGGAAAGAGCCCCTGAGCTGGATCTCCATATAGTTTTCCAAGGGCTTTAACTCATTTGCTGTCTTATGCAATCCAATAAATAGTTTTAAGCACCTATATGAGATGTAACCCTCTCTATTCGTGTGCATTTTCAGGTAAGGCATTTTATTCTTCTGCATCTCAGGCTATCTTTTGCTAAATGAGAACACTTAAGTACCGCAGCTAAGAAATATTTACCACAAATATTCAAAAGCTCTACATTGGTCATGATTCTGGTGAACGAGAACTCTACAGATATCAAGTATGGTAGTTGTAGCTGTTCTTATGCCTACTTTCTACAACCTTTCTCAGAGACAGTCAATTGCATGGGCCAGCAGAAATCTGATCTGTTTATGCTTACATACAAAGCTGCCAGAAAGTCAGGGTCACCGATTTCAGTTTCTGTGAATGGGACACAGTGATAACTTGGCTCTATCTAGCTGAAGAATACAAAGGTGTATACAGTCAGGCTTCATGTAATTACGGGAATGCATTCTGAGAAATGTGTCATTAGGCAATTTCAATTTTGTGTAAACATCGCAGAATGTGCTTATTCACACCTAGGTGGTATAGCCTACAATATACCTAAGTTATATGGTATAGCCTATTGCTACTAGGCTACAAAACTGTGAGGCATGGTCCTGTACTAAATATTGTAGAAAATTATCTAAATATATCTAAATATAGAAAGGGTACAGTAAAATATGATATTGTAATTTTATAGGACTCCCATCATTTATGTGGTCTGTTGTTGATAGAAACAACACCATTATGCAACATATGACTGTATAAAAAGAAACCAAAAAGGAGGAAAAGAAATCACCAATTTTGAAATCACCAAAAAGAAAGGGGGCTGAAGACTAATGTAGGAGGTAAAGAGAAAATTGAAGTAGGAGAATCCCACTTGCTAAGGACTTTATAATGCCAACATGATTCGTTCACAGATGGGAATCCAGAAAATAACACAAAATAAGCTAGAGGAGATTATAAGAAGAGACAATCACTTCTAGCACGGTGTGTAAATGAGAGGGAGGGAAGACATTCTTAGTTCAGAGCTTAGGGTGATAGTAAAGTCTCAATGAGATGGATTTGTTATTGATGATAGCCTCTAATATGTAGCAGCAGCTCCTTCAGTTTCATTAGAGTGCTGAGAAATACGTGATTTCTGAGAATGCATTGTGACACCAAGAAGCAAACTAGAATCTTGGAGGAAAATATCCAAATGCACTTTTCCTTGATCCTCTATATGCCATATATAATGCTGTCTAAAGAGTGTGTTGTTTGTTTGTTTTTTGTTTTTAAAGGAAGTTGGAAACCTGCAGTTGTTTGGAAGAAATAAGCCATGTATAGACCAGGAAATCAACTGATGACTAGGAAAGGATGGGAAAGATGATAAGGTCTCAGTTCTCATGTGGAGGAGTGGGAGATTGGAGAACTCCACATCCATTTGAAGTAAAAGAGCTGCAGATTACCTTGAGAACTGGTGGTTATTCCATTGTCTTGCCTAATTTCTGGAAAAGGGACTTATTTACAGCCAAGCATCAGTAAAGGGAAATTTATGGTAAAGACAAGCAGAGTGTATAAGATTCAAATGGTTAGAATTGCAGCCCACATTTGGCCCCCTGAAAATGGGAACAGGAAGCACAGCAATTGTAATGATGCTCCGTACATGTACTATTGTTTTCTATTTTCCAACTTCCTTAACTAACTCACTGTTTATCTTCCTCAAAACATAAGACAGCCACCCCTCCTAAACCAGCAGTGAGTAGAGATAACTTGTGATTAATTAATTTCCAAGAAACTACTAGAATGTCAATTAACCCAGAAGTATTGCAATAAATAGTAGAGTTTAATAAACAGTAGAGTTGAATTCAAATATCTCTGAAGCTGGACAATGTGAGTAGCAAATTATGATAAAAGAGGGATCAGTAGGCTGATGAACCAGTTGTGGTGTCAGTAAGAGACATAGCACTATATGTGCTCTTAGATTTCCATTGACATGTGGTGTTTGGCAATGAGTTTGTGGTTGGTGGGCAACAGGAATATGAATATAAACTTCAAGTCCCTTGAAAACTGTCCTCTAAATCTCAGAAACAAATCAGATTTTAGGAAATCCTAGGAGATTGACAATATGGGTCAACAGTTTATGACCTACTCATATATACACAGAAACTGGTACAAAGGAAGAAAGGCAAAATTATGACAAAGGTAACCCCACCGGGTTAGACATTTTAAATGATATTTGTTATAGATACATGAGGGGCTGAGCCACAACAGTCAGGGAATGTCATAATCCCTTGGGCTACCTGAGTCTATTTCTGGCCCAAATAAACCATAACAGATTGTGACTTTATACAGACTTATTCTTTACACGGGGACACAAGACATTACAAACTGTCACCAGTAGGCCAGTTCTGGTCCTTGATTTAGCTGCACAAAAGAATTTGAGAGTGAGTCAAAAGTTAGAATGAGCAAAGAAGTTTATTGCAAGGCAAAAGTATGTTCTAAGAGGAAAAGAAGGCTGCTCAAAGAGAGAGACAGCAACTAGTGCCTTAAGAGGAATTTTTTTTTATGGGAGTTTTACATACACATAAAATACTGGTGAGGTCAAGTATGCAGAGGTGAATCTGCAGTTGGCGCATGCGCTCAGAATCTTCGTGCACTAATGCACATTGCAAGTATCATTGGCGTGTAAAATCTCCACCTAGGAGTGTGTTTTTACTATTAAAATGATGAAAAGTTTGCTATACATTAACTTTGAGCCTAGCTGTGCATGTGGGATCCTGGAGAAGTCCCTTGCCCTCTCCTCCAGGAAGGAATTTGTAGCTAATAGCTTCTTGGGCTTTTAGTGCTGATTAATTGGCTGGAGATTGAGCCAATCTACATCAGGAATAAGGGGCTTTTGTTCTCTTTCCCAGGCTGTACTAGGTATCGGGAACCTGTAGCCATCTGATATTCTGCTGGTGTTCTATACAACCACTTATCTTATAAGAGAGTTAGGTGTTGATGCATGAAGGTGCAAGCTAAAAGAGCTAATTGTGAAAGGGGCCCGCTGGGCTTCACTCAAAGAGACATGTCAGTACGGCCTCCTAACTTTACTTATACTGCTTCATAACCACTATGCCCAACATTTTAAATGGGCTATGGAGGCCACAATGATTTAACTGCAGACCTAGAACATTATCATGTATTTTTTAGCTAGACCATACAGTGAACCAACGTCATGTAGACCAATGGTTTCCAAAATATGTTGCCCAAACCAGCAGACTAACCTTCACTTCTAAGCTTGTTAGAAACGTAAATCATGAGCCCATCCCAATTGAATGAATCAAAACCTCTAGCTGGAGGAGATGGAGGCAAGGATGTTTTTATATATGCTAAAGATTAAGATGCATTGATATAAAAATAGCTTTCTTAGCATTTCACTCTTCATTCAACAAGGATGTATTTTGTATAAAGCACTTTTCTGAAAACTAGACAGTCAGTGGTGAACAAGGTAGACATGGCTCTGCCTTTATGAAGCTGAGCAAACTTTAGTGGTGGAGAAAACTGTTAAGCAATGACTTTTTCAATTAATGATTTCATTGCAATTCTGGTTAATGTGGTAAAAAATAACGATTTTTGAGGTATTTGAGAACATACAATGGGAAAACAATATCTTTGGTACATCTTGGCATTGTGATGGTGTATATAAAATAAACACACAATTTTCAGATAAAAACCGTGAAGATATAATAAAATGACTTCATGTGATGCCAGTGTAACCCAGGGGATGACCTTTCATAGACAGCAAACTAAAGACGAGAAGACCTATGTGGAATTGTAATAGTGGCTCCAAGACATTTCTCACACTTAAACTCCTCTCTCTTTAAATAATATTAAGTGATTCAGTGTAGCAGATATGTGAATCTATTCTAACATCAAGGGATAAATTAACTCCTGCCTGGTGCTCAATGCAATGATTCTTAAATCGACTTGGCATTCACACATCACAACAGAAATATAAGGATGCCGGGGCTTGGTGGTTAGCACAGGACATGTGCAAAGGCACAATGGGATAGAGATTAGATTCCATCATTGAGCGAGGTACAATCCCCGCTCCTGTGGCCCCCAGTGAGCACTCCACAATTCTATCCTGTTAAGCTAAAGGAACTCTTTAGATGAGATAGATAAAGAATAATGAACTGAAATAAATTGAAATGTACTTGCCAAATATATTTTTATAGATTCATTTTTTCTATGAACCCTTCAGTTCTTCAAATGTACTATTGAAAATAGTGAAAAGAAGAGTCTTTTTTTGCATCCTGATATTTTTCTCTTTTTGGAGGGAGGGGGAATTCCTTCAAAGCTGAAATTTCCTATTCTTCCATATTCCGGGGGACTTCCTCTCTTTTGTCATCCTCTTCTATTTAGATCAACATTTCATTTTCTGTTATGTTCTATTTGATTACATACTGTATGGTGCCAGTATAATATTTTAATCATTTTTATTTTGTAACACAGTACCTGATACATGCTAGATTCTTAATAATGTTTTATTTGGCATATGAATGAATTAACACATGAATGTGTGTTGCTTAACCTACCATTCGGCAAGTTTTTAGAAAGAGTTGGAGTGGTGGAGATGAACTATTTATAAGGGTGGATTCAGACCTGGATTATGAAATGGGATTGGGATTGTGATGAATCCAAGGGATTTATTATTTTTTTAATTAGCATTGCATTGCCCTGGTGTCACCTCCTTTCTCCTCATAGCTCATAACACAATTTAAGTTAAATAATTACTGACAAGATGAATCTCCTTTTCCTCCACTAAAGTATTAGCTCCACGAGAATAGAGACAGCTTACTTTACATTGTTTTATTCCAGAAATACAGTACTCCTACAACAATGTTCTGAATCTAGAAAATTCTGAGTAAATATTAGTCGGATGATACCTTATCTTGGTTTCTTTGAGAAGTTGACACTGAGGCAAGGATTCAAGTACAAATATTTCATTTGGGAGCTGAAGGAGACATCTGTAGAAAATTTAGATAATCAAAAAAGGGAAAAAAAACAGTTAATAGAAGATATGCTATCAAGAGTGTACACTAGCCCCAACACACACCAGTTCATTTTGCTCCATTAAGGAAAGACACGGGTGGATGCTCAGCTCCCCACTGGAACCCTTTGACACAGCAATGAGGGTTCTATATTGAAGTAGAGGGCTAAGAAGCCCTGCCTCGAATTGCTTTGGTCATTCTCCTTGGTACCAGGTGGTTTTGGGGGGTTCCGCTCCCCACCAGCTCTCACTGACTACAAATATGAAAGAAAGTAGGATGCTGTCTTCCCCTGACTTGCACCCTTTGCCGCTGGGTGAGGGTGGACACTCAGCTAGCCACTGGACTCTGCTGACAACATACCCACTGACTGCTTCTGCTGAGTACTAGAAGAGAGACCAGCTCCCAGCTCAGACGCAGGTACACTACCTTCACTTGCTGGGGAAACAGAGTGCCACCCACTTGCATTGAGCCAGGGATGGAAGATTAGCTCATTGCTAGGCACCATTATCACAAGGCAGAAAAATTACAGCACTGTTGTCTGTTTTCCCCAGCTGCCGGTTGGTGGGGTGGGATATTGACAATTAAATCAGCCCTCCAGAAACCATGAGGGGTACAGGGTAATTTTCCATAGGTATTTGGACTGACTAGGCCAATATTTTGCTGAAAAGGTTTTTTGCTGTCTTAGGCCATCCCTTCTCCTGTCATTTAGCTAGGCTTAACAGGCTTTCTCAGAGCTGCTTTTGCTCTGTTGGCTGTTCTGGATTGGAGGCACCCAATATGAATATATGAGAGATAATAAGTAAACCCAGGGAATTCACCACTGTGCCACTGTGTCATTTCTCAACATCGCTAGACACCCCTCCTTCTTTGCCATTTTCCACTCTTCCAACTTCCTATGTTTATTTTTCTGTGTTATGTCACAGGTTTTTTAGTTGTAAGAAGGAGGACCTGGGACAAACGGACTATTTCGTTTGGGCCAGAACCAACAATCCCCTCAAATTATCTTTGAAGCCCAAATGATTATGGAAAACTTCAAGCATATATTCCATTGAGTTTAACACTTGTCTTCTATTTACATTATTTATTTTCCTATATGGTTAGAGAGTTAGGTGAGTGGAAAAAAAATTCTTTCATTTTAAATGATGCCACTGGTGGAAGTTCTTATACATGTTTCTCTTGCAATCTTCCTAGCTGGGATATTTTTTTTTTTATGAGGGAAGATAAAGAAAAGATATTACAGCATATTTCACATGGTAAGTTTTTTAAACTGTTCTTAATATTTTTTCTCGGTCTCTGGATTCAGGGTACACACAGGTGCCATGTACTCTATTTTTCAGCCTCATTTATTTAGAATTTAATCTCACACTCAAAATCCAAAATCACTTTCTCTTCCCAACTGCAGTGACCTAAAAAGTTTGCCTTAAATATGACTCCATAGACGTATTTATATTTAATCAAGCCTCTTTACTGACACTCCTGGCTACAGCTGCTGATTCTGTTGCTGACAAGGGCAGGAAGGACTTTGAGGAGAACGTTATGGGACCTAGCTAATTCAATGCATAAGCTTTTTTTTTTTTTTTTTTTAGAAAAACAACATCACACAGAAGTCAAATGATGATGATTTATCTATAGTATTATAGTTTCTAGCAATGTAGTATACAAAACAGAAATCCAAGAAAGAGAAAGAAATAAAAACAACCACAGCCACAAGAACACTGAAGAAAATGCATCCAGATTGTTTTAGTCTTGATTTTCTAAAGACACTCTTGTGAGTTAAACATTTATTTAGTTCTCTATAGGTTACAGGTAACATATAGAGTCAATGAGTACCCAGTGTATTTGGGTTCAAATCCTCATTGTCCCACTTACTGCATATGTAAATTTTGTCAAATCATTTAATGTGGCAGACTGTTTTCTAATCTGTAAGATGGTCATAATAACAGTGACTACTTCATAGATTGATATGAAGACAAATAATTAATAAATGTGAAGTGCAAAGAATGGTGCTTAGCAAGATATTTATGCTCCAGAAATGCTAGTTGTTTTCAGTAATCTTCGGGGCAATGATTTGCTATAATTTTGCGAACTCTGCAATTTTTTTGGAAATCTACCCCTACTTACGGAGTTATCAGAGATGTCAAAGACAAATAAATCATAGCCTGTGACACCAAAGAAGTTATTATCTATGAGAAATAAAATAAAGAGAAATGAAGAAGTAGACTAATATTGTGGAGTGAATACTATGTGCCAGTTGACAATAGTCAATACCATCCCCATTTTGCAATAAAATAAAGTAGAGGAACAAACTCAAAGTCACACAGTTAAATTCAGATATTCAAGTGCAGGTGTATCTGAAGTCACAGATTATAGAAAACTCTTTCTTTCAACATTAATTAATAACAAAATGATATGGTTTGGCAGTGTCCCCACCCAAATCTCACTGTGAATTGTAACTCCCACAATTCCCATGTGTCATGGGAGGAACCTAGTGAGAGGTGACTGAATTACGGGGGCAGGTCTTTCGTGTGCTGTTCTCATGATAGTGAATGAGTCTTATGAGATCTGATGGTTTGATAAGGGGAAACCTGTTTCACTTGGCTCTCATCATTCTCTCTCTTGCCTGCTGTGATGTAAGACATGCCTTTCATCTTGTACCATGATTGTGAGGCCTCCCCAGCCATGTGGAACTGTAAGTCCAATCAAGCCTCTTTCTTTTGTAAATTGCCCAGTCTTGGGTATGTCTTTATCAGAGGAGTGAAAATGGGCTAATGCAGTAAATTGATACTAGTAGAGTGGGACATTGCTGAAAAAATATGTGAAAATGTGGCAGTGACTTTGGATCTGGGTAACAAGCAGAGGTTGGAACACTTTGGAGGGCTCAGGAGAAGGCAGGAAAATGTGGAAAAGTTTGAAACTTCCTAGAGACTTGTTGAGTAGCTTTGACAAAAATGCTGATAGTGTTATGAACATTAAGCTCCAGGCTGAGGTGGTCTCAGATGGAGATGAGAAACTTGTTGGAAGCTGGAGCAAATGAGACTCTTGTTATGTTTTAGCAGAGACTGGTGGCATTTTCCCTTGCCCTAGAGATTTGGGGAACTTGGAACTTGAGAGAGATGATTTAGGGTATCTGGCAGAAGATATTTCTAAGCAGCAAAGCATTGAAGAAGTGACTTGGGTGCTGTTAAAGGCATTCAGTTTTATAAGGGAAGAAGAACATAAAAGTTCAGAAAATTTGCAGCCTGGCAATGCAATAGAAAAGAAAATCCTATTTTCTGAGAAGGAATTTAAGCCAGTTGCGAAATCTGCATAAGTCACAAGGAGCTGAATGTTAATCACCAAGACAATGGGGAAAATGTCTCCAGGGCACGTCTGAGATTTTTGCTGCAGCCCCTCCCATCACATGCCCAGAAGTTCGGGAGGAAAAAATGGTTTCATGGGTCAGGACCAGGGTCCCTCTGCTCTGTGCAGTCTAGGGACTTGGTTTCCTGCATCCCAGCCATTCCAGCTGTGACTAAAAGAGGCCAAGGTACTGCTTGGGCTGCTGCTTCAGAGGGTAGCCAAGCCTTGGCAACTTCCTCATGGTGTTGAGCCTACAAGTGCACAGAAGTCAAGAATTGGGATTTTGGAACATCCACCTAGATTTTGGAAGATGTATGGAAACACCTGGATTCCCAGGCAGAAG
Organism: Homo sapiens; assembly: GCF_000001405.40. Classification (NCBI taxonomy): domain Eukaryota; kingdom Metazoa; phylum Chordata; class Mammalia; order Primates; family Hominidae; genus Homo; species Homo sapiens. The sequence continues at coordinate 42,095,335 of NC_000011.10, forward strand.
TTTGCTGCAGAGGTGGGCCCCTCAGTAAGAACCTCTGCTAGGGCAGTGCAGAAGGGAAGTGTGGGGTGGGAGCACCTACACAGAGTCCCTACTGGGGCACTGCCTGGTGGAACTGTGAGAAGAGGCCCACCATCCTCCAGACCCTAGAATGGTAGATCCTTCGACAGCTTGCACCATGCACCTGGAAAAGCCGCAGACACTCAACACCAGCCCATGAAAGTAGCTGGCAGGGAGGCTGTACCCTGCAAACCCACAGGGGTGGAGCTTCCCAAGACCATGGAAACCCACCTCTTGCACCAACATGACCTGGATGTGAGACACAGAGTTAAAGGAGATCATTTTGGAGCTTTAAGATTTGACTGCCTCACTGGATTTTGGATTGGCATGGGGCCTGTAGCCTCTTTGTTTTGGCCAATTTCTCCCATTTAGAATGGCTGTATTTACCCAATGACTATGCCCTCATTGTATCTAGGAAGTAACTAACTTGTTTTTTAATTTACAGGTTCATAGGCAGAAGGGACTTGCCTTGTCTCAGATGAGACATTGGACTGTGGACTTTTGAGTCAATGCTGAAATAAGTTAAGACGTTGGGGGATTGTTGGGATGGTGTGATTGGTTCGGAAATGTGTGGACATGAGATTTGGAAGGGGCCGGGGTGGAATGACATGGTTTGGCTGTATCATCACCAAAATCTCATCTTGAATTGTAACTCCCGCAATTCCCATGTGTCATGGGAGGAACCCAGTAAGAGGTGATTGAATTGTGTGGGCAGGTCTTTCCTGCACTGTTCTCATGATAGTGAAAGAGTCTCACGAGATCTGATGATTTGATCAGGGCAAACTCACTTTGCCTGGGTCTTATCATTCTACTCTCTTACCTGCTGTGATGTAAGACATGCCTTTCTCCTTCCACCATGATTGTGAGGCCTCCCCAGCCATGTGGAACTATAAATCCAATAAAACCTCTTTCTTTTGTAAATTGCCCAGTCTTGTATATGTCTTTATCAGCAGTGTGAAAATGGACTAATACACACAAAAAAGGATACATTATGGTCTGAAGGTGATTCCAAACTCACCATGAACCGATGTCAGTCTTACCTTGTACATGGCCAGTGTCTTGCCTGAATGACAACTCCCAGAAGAAGAAGAATTTGATCATCACAGTCTCCTCCTCTGTAAAATGAGGTGGGCAGAGGAAATATCTCTAAGGCCCATTCCCATTCTAGCAATCTGCAAACCTATAAATGTTTATGTTCTGGAACCTTATTTTTATATTATTAATGACAATTTTGGGTACTATTTGATAAACAGAAATAAAATTTAGCAGATAGGTTTGTAACCTGCTGTGAAGCAGGTTGGTGCTATTGAAGAAATTGTTTTAAAAACTTTTATAACATAAGGTAAGAAGAAACCAAATAATTATAGAGATTAGGGGTTAACTAGGAAAACCAAAAGGATGTACAGGTGTGATGTGCTTGGAGGCCCCATGAGATTCTATACTCATTTAATGACTCACTAAAACACCAAGGCATACTTAATGCATATTATCTTATTGAATCCTTACAAAATCCCTGTAAAATTGGGTTATTAAATCCCCAATTTTAAGTGACTGATGGAACCTCAAAGAGGTTAAGTAATTGCCCCCACAAGGTCATACTGCTTTACTGAGGGAATGCTGGAATTAAAATTCAAGTCTCCATGTGGCAATGTCCATTGTCCTTCTACTGTTTTAGAAAGCCTCCCAAAGTTTTCTGTGCATAACAAATGCTTTTCTTCTCATGTATTAATATAAATAACAGTACAGGTCATTACTGTTATTATTTACATAAATAAAAGTATGGGTCATTGCTATATTTATGGTAGTTATTTACAATAAGTACTGACTTTTTAACTATTCTGAACATTGAAATAAAATGCTATTTTCATTCACTGATGGAGCTGGACCTATTAAACACCAAAGCCTTTCACTGTAATTTTCTTAGAAAGTATTTTCAGGAATGGAAGAGCAAAGGGACTGACATTTTGTAATAAATTACTCTGATCCAATCACTTAACATGTCTTATTTAAACATTGCAATGTTTGGGGAAAATATTATCTTCCTTGTCTAACAGATGAAGAAGCTAAGGCTTAGAGAGTTTAAATAAGAAGCTACAGGGCCTTGTGATTCAAAAGCCCCTCTTTTACAATATTGCCTCCCAGAGCTAATTTCCAAATCAGGCTTTATTTTTCTTATGTTCCTTTAAACTTTTGGCTGGTATTTTCTTTAAGTTTTTATTTTAGTGCATCTCTAAAAGTTCAGAAATATATATTGACATTAGTAGTATAAACATAAACAGAAAGTCTATGTTGTTCAGACAGTGATCAAATCAAAGTCTCAGTACTCACATTGTTGGTGAGTGACTTATGCTTTTAATGAACATAAAGGTATATAAGTTAAGAAATTATTGATCATTTTAGGCCCTCAGTTTGCATTTGCTCAATCAGGGAATCAGTAATTTTTATGGCTGAATAACAACCAGCATTTCTGGAGTACTTGTGCCTCACCACCATGTCGAATCAGGTTAATAAGTTGTGCTGATTCTTTTATTTTTTCCCAAATAAATCTTTTTTCCCCCTTAGGGATCTTATCTTCAGCCATCTAAAATTTCTTCAAGTCAAAGAATACTCAACCCTTGACACATATGTCTAAATTTTTGTAATTTTTAAGCAAGAGCTTGATTTGCTGTATGCCATAAGCTAAATGGACAATTTGAGGCACACATTTGTCTGGAGAAAAAGTCTTGCTCTCAGCAACAGTTTAAAATGTTTCAGTGAGTAGCTATTGAAAGTGATATATTATGCAAGCAATTTCTTTGTAGTTATTTGTAGAAACAGCTCAGCTACTTAGACACAAATAAGTGGTGAAGCCAAGGTGAAGTGTTCCCCAAATTCCCATGCTGAGTTGTTTGTTCTGTCCTTTGTGCTCCCACAGCACTTCCTTCTTACTTCTGAAATAGCACTCACCAGCTTCTACTTATTTGTTTACATACAATTCTCCTGCCACATTTGACTATTAACTCTTCAAGGTCAAGGACCAAGTCTTAGTCCTCATTATACCTCGACTACCTACCACAGTGGCATATACATAATAAGAGCTCAATTATAGTCCTGAAGCGAGTGAATGAAGGAAAGAACAAAGGTCTCTATATTCTTCTCAATATTAAGATTTGTGGGGACCAAGATTGTGTGCCACCTGGATTCTCCTTCAACTTCTTGTTCTAGCTTCTGGGAATGTTGTCAGCAGCCAGACTTCAGTTCTCAACACCTGCAGAGATTGTCTCATCTGCAAAGAGCTGCCTTGCTGAAGGTCAAACTCATTTACCTGGTAGGCCATATCCACTGACTGTTCCACATAACACAATAAAGCACTTGCTAACTCATCCAAGAGGGAAGAAATTTGAAAAGCTGATCAAACTCCAGAGTTCTCTTAGGATTGTAAAGGTTGCCATTGATCCTACATATCAATATAGCATTTTCTTCTTCCCAATCCTGTTTCCCTACTTTCTCTTCCATGAATGTTGATCACAAAGACACTCCTTAGTGAACATACTGCAAATTAATCTCTGTCTTAGAATCTACTTTCCAAAGAACTCAGCTTACAATGTTTTAAGAAGTATAATTATGAACAAATATAGTAAGAATCTGCTTTAGTGTGTCACTTCCACCCTTACTTCTCCAGTGGAAATCTATGCTGATTTACAGATTACATGCCAGGAAGTGTTATGTGGTTTCACCTACATGATGTAATATAATTATTACTTCAGCCCTGCATATTAGGCATTCTGTTCTAATTCCAAACTTTATATGTGGCTCAAAGAGTTCAAGAAATATACCAAGTTCTTACAGGTCATCTGAAGCTGGAAGTTAAATTTTCTTCAAAACCTGATAATATAATAAAAGCAAAAACCAAATTGGAAGTCTGGGAGATTTTATTTTACCTTCTACACTTACTAAAAGACCACAGGCTGGCATGATATGTCACTTTTAATAGCTGTTCATTGAAATGTTCTATAGATGGTTGTTTCTCCTTTTCACTGCCTTCTCTATTTTTCTTCAAAATAGGGATTGAAAGCCAGGTGCCTAATTTGTTTGTATAAATCCTCATTGTGTTTTCAGGGATCTTAGATTGGGTTCTTTAGAAATAGAGCTTAAACTGCTGAGGTCTCTGATTCAAGTGATTTATTAGAAAAGGAGAGCAAGGAGAAGGAGAGTGGAGAGACCAGGATGGAGAAAGGAACAATGCTAAGTTAGCTTATGTTTTCAGCTGAAGATTACCTTCAGACTGATTCCAGTGTCTGGACAATAAATGTACCACAAAGTTAGTCTTTTCTGGAGGCAAGGAGGCAAACTTTTGTACCATTATGTAAGTTATTCATTGGTTATGGGTATAGCTATATGGCTATACATTGGCTCCCCCAGGTAGGTATAATCAACCAGGTACCACCTGGGAGGTGAAGGTCAATAATTCAGAGAAGGAACTATATGTGTGCCATTAACAGTGGACTCACAGCAGCAGTCATATAAGTGCACTGGTTCAGAGATGGGGACCTGTGAGAAGCATCAGAATATTCGCTACATCACTTTTATGGTCTGTATGTATTCAATGGATATTTATTCAACCAAGTTCTGGGCTTATACTACATACTAGAAAAACAGAAATGAATAAAACAAAAAGTCATGTCCTATTAGAACTTGCTTTCTAGTAGAGGGAGACAGGTAATAAATAAATAAATAAACTATTCAATATGACAATGACCATTAAGGAGTGTGAAGAAAAATACAGAAGGGAAATGGTTGACATTTTTAATAAAATAGCTAGGGAATGCTTTACTGAGAAGATGACCCTGGAGCAAAATCCTTAGAGGAGATAAGTAGACAAGTCATATGAACATTGTGAGAAGGAATCTTCCAGCAGAAAGAACTGCAGGTGCAAAGTCCTCAAGATGGGAGTTCTTTTCATTTGCAAGAAGAAACAAGGATGCCAACATAGCTGAAATAGAGAGATCTATGGAAAGAGTAATAGAGAAAAGATATGAAAGGGGTAAAGGCCGGCCAGGTAGAATCTTATAAGTTACTAAAAGTACTTGACTTTTACTTTGCATGAGATAGAAAGTCACTGGGAGGATTCTCAGTAAAAGAATGGCATCATCTGAATCATATCATGAAAATATCTGTCTGCAGGTTTGAGAAGAGGTGAATGAACAAGGAGAATAGGAACACTAGCGGGAAAGCTATTACAGTATCTAGCAGAGAGTTGTCTGTGGCTAGAATCAGAATGAGATAGTGAAGATGGGTGAGATTTTATCTGATTCTGAATATATTTTGAAGATACAGCCAACAAGACTTTTTGACTGATTATATACGTGGGATGAGAGAAGGAAGAGTGGAACATGATTCTAAACTATAATAACACTTGACCAGCAAGGTTGGTCTTAGTTTCTGATTGATGGCCAAATTCATTCGATACAATAATTTTTATAAGTATCATGTTTACTTAGCTTTAAGAAAGTATGCAGGACAAGATTTTTTTAACTTCTATTTTAAGTTCGGGGGTACAAGTGTAGGTTTGTTGCATAGGTAAACTTGTGTTACGTCAGTTTGCTGTATAGATTATTTCATCCCCCAGGTATTAAGCCTAGTACCCTGTAGTTGTTTTTCTTGATCATCTTCTTCCTCCTACCCTCCACTCTCCAAAAGGCCTCAGTATGTTCTGTTCTGGTCTACATGTCCATGTGTTCTCATCATTTAGCTCCCACTTCTAAGTGAGAACATGTGGTATTTGGTTTACTGTTCCTGTGTTATGGCAATGGCATAGCAGAAATCTTGACTTACATGAGCAATTTCTGAAATCCCCAAATCACTATATATTCCACATGCACAAGTTAATAAGGAAAGAAGCTGAGTGGGAAAGATTGATGTCGGCCCAGGAAAGCCAGTAGCTTTGAGGTCCCTTCAGTTCTTTAACTCAGTGCCCATTTTCTGGTGCTGCTGTGTCTTATAAACTCTGGTTAGTCAATCTCAATACACAATCTCAACAACTAATAACAGGTGTTTACTCCTGTACATAATAACCTTGGCTATAATCTCTGAATGTATCATACTCCTATACATTTCATGAGTTATTATAGTGGGGGAAGATTTGATCAAGATCTGGATAATCAAGTGATGGAGAAAGGCCACAGTTTGGCCACTGGCACCTATTTTTTTTATAAATGTTTGGCTCCAGCAACTGGAATAATGCAACTGTCATCTTATAGAATTAGTGACTTTGTAGGGCATATAATAATGGATATCAGGACTTCAGTTTTTGCACATATGAAGTTTAAGACACATTTTACATATCCAAGAAGAGAAGCAGAGTAGAAAATCTGATGGACAAATCAGAATTTCAGGAGGGAAGTTGGGTATAGAGACATATATTTGAGGAGCAGCAACAGATAAGTGATATTTAGATTCATGAGTCAACATGAGAACAACGAGATCCAGGAAGAGTAAATGTAGACACAGAGGTCTAACAATTGAGAATTTTAATTGTTTGGGTGATAAAAGATGACTAGAAAAAGACACTGAAATCAAGAGGCCAGTAAAATAAGAGAGAACCAAGAGTCTCTAATGCCCTATAAGCCAATGGAAGATAGCATTACAAGTGCATCAATCAACTGCATCAAATTCTGGTAATATGATAACTAAAATGAGGATTTTGGGGTTTAGTCACAAGTTAAATGCTGACATTTACAGAAACAATTCTGTGAAGTGGTATGAAGATATTGTAACAAGGACTGGAGAGATTAAAGCCAACAGGGAGGTTTTCATTTTTGTTCCTTAAGATGGGAAATCTTATTCCAGTTTGGTAAGCATGGGAAAATGAGGAAAATTAATAATGGAGGAGAGATGGGAGAGTTACTGAAATGAGGTTCTTAAACAAATAAGACAGGACGGGCCTAGTGCACAAGTGGAGGTATGGACCTCAGAGAAGAGCGCAAACAGTTCTTCCTGTTGAACAGGAGGAAAGGAATGGCAAAGATGCAGGTAGCTGGATGGAAATTTGTGGAAGTTATTTCCTTAGCTTATATCTTCTCAGTCAAATAGAATGTAAAGCAAACATCTGGGAATGAGGAGGGAAGAGGAACTGTTGGATTTTTAAGGAAAGAAGGAAAGAAGTTAACTAATCATGTAGGAGAGTGAACAGACACTGCAATGTAGTTGGGACTGCTGGACAAAACTAAGAGTCTACCAGAGATTAGTGGTCATAGTCGTTCACCTGAGAATAATGGTCTCTTGTCTTAAAGTAAGACAGGGCAGGATAGCTGTATGTTGCTTCTCCAGCTATGTTCAGGTGTGAGGCTTAACTAAGGTGTGGTAAGATAGATGTAATCCAGGTTAGAATTTTGTCAGAGTATATCCAATGATAAAATAGCCAGATAATTGTGGATGAATACAGGGAGTTTTTACAATCATGGATCACAAAATCCAAACCATTAAGGAGGAATCAACGTAAGAACACAGATAGAAAACAAAGGACATCGGAAAGGAGGTAGGGTCAAAAGACTGAAGGCACTGGCAGCATAGAAAATGTGTTAGAATCAGTTGCTCTGAGGAGCAACTTGAAAAGATGACAGGTGATGGTGTAAGTGTGGGGTGCATGAAATTTTGAGGAATTGCATTTATAGGTAGCAACTAGTCACGAGATGTGACTATGGCAGTGAGTGGTAAATGTAGGGTGGAGGACATGGTTATTGGGTCAGAGAAAGCCAACAACTGAAATTCTGAGCTAGTGGAAATAATATCTAGATGGGTGTTAACATCACCAATAGTTATGATGGGGGTAATGTTGAAGAGTAAAACAGTCAACCAAGGACTAAAATCTTCAAGGAATGAGGAGATGATTTTTGAGTATGAAGGTGAGGAGAGCAAAGCTGGTTAGTGGAAATTTTTATGAAGGTAGGAGGAAGATTGGTTTGAAAGCAGCAATTGTGAGCAGGGAGAGTACATATCCTCCCTCCACGACCAATATTTTGGCTGCAGGGAATGCAATGTCCCAGGGGAGCATGCATATTACAGATTTAATGACACCAAGACTACTTCATTCACAAGCAATTCCAAGGAAGGGAGAGCCACAGAAGACCAACATGGCAGCCAGGGCCTTCTGTTATATTGTAGATCTTTACATGTACTTCCTAACTAACTCCTTACCATCAAAGAAGAGTCACTTCCTAAAATAACATTAACTTTTCTTTTATAGTCTACCTGCCTTCCCATCTGTCCACCCACCATCGCTTTCTTTCTTTCCTTTTTTTCTTTTTTTCCTTTTCTTTCTTCCCTCCCTCCCTTCTTTACTTCCTTTCTTCCTTCCTTGTTTCTTTCTTTCCCTCTCCCTTTTTCTTCCCTTTTTTCCTCTTTATTTGTCTTTTCAAAACTTAAAATCTGGCAATTTTCCACTTATTCAGAATGAGCTAAGTCAATGGTCAGGCAATGGTCCACATTTATGAATTCCAATAGGACATCCTAAAACCACCAACCATAATAACATTGCTATGGTACAAGCAGAAACTTCTCAGCTTGGAATGAGCTCAGTAAGAAGCCGTAACAACTTACATGGCGTTGGTAAAGTTTATTGTTGTGCAAGCAATCCCACTTGGCACAGGACATCTTGATTTGTGTTAACACTCAAATGCACTAATCTTCCTAATACCCCCTATATTTATATATGACATAAATCAAATCCTGCTCAGAACTAAGTTGTTGCTGCTTTTTTTTTTCCTGCTACTCTCCTGCTAGGTGTATTTATGTTATGCTGTGTTGCGTTGCTACCCTTGCTGCAAATTTATCTGAGCTTCGACTTTTACTGCTGATTTAGCAAACATTTTATATTCTGCAATGAACTGTAAACATTTTTTCTTCTGACAGATCCATTATGACAAGTGTTATAAACTCTTCACTGCAGACTGTATCTCTTCTATTGAGCTGCTCTTTATATCAGTTTTACTATGCACAGAAAATGACGCTGGTAATATTGCACCTGTCTGAGTTCGCCTGGGATGATCAGTAAGTTCTGCAACATGGAGCATCTATATACTTAGTTTTATTACATCTGTTTCTGACTTATACAACATGTTAGTGGAAATTAAGTTTTAAGAGTAATCAGATGAGCTGAAAGTAGCCTATGAACCCCAATTTCTTTCCACTTAAAAGTTTGACTGTGTATACACATACCAAACATTTTAAAGTAGCTGATAAAGTTAGCCATTTCCTATCAGGTCTAAAACATCATAATGGGTCTACATTAAACATAGATTACATCTGAGAATAAATGCTGATCCCAAAGAAGAATAATCATGCTGTCAAGTCATGCCGTTATTCTTCCTTAGCTTTGGCGTGAGGGACTCTTTTACTTCTCTGTGGCTTTCAATGACTTGGACCATCAAAATTCTACAAAAAATTGTGATGGGAACATAAGAAAGGAAACTATGTTTTTACGGGCTGAATTGTGACTCCTTTAAACTCGTATTTTGATGTCTTAAAGCCCAGTTTTTCAAAATGTGACTCTATTTAAACGTATTGTCTTTAATGAAGTAATTAAGTTAAACTGAAGCCATTAACATAGCCCTAATACAATATTACTTTATAAAAGAAGAGATTAGAATACAAACCCACACAAAGGGAAGTCCATGTGAAAAAACAGGGAAAAGATGGGCATCTACAGGCCAAGGACGGAGGCCTCTGAAGAAACTAATGGTACTGACACTTTGGTCTCTGACTTCTAGCATCCAGAATTGTGAAAAAATATTGTTTTTCTCTAAGCCAATCAATATGTGGAACTTTGTTATGGGTGCCCTAGGAACCTAATACATCATATTTATTATGTCTAACTTTTGTAGATATTTTCATATATTATTTAATTTTCAAAATAACCCTCTAATGTTTCTACTACCATCAATTCCAGAAGATAGAGAGCTATGGTTAAATTATTTGCTTTTCCAACTCAAAATCTATGCTCCTCCTTCTCTACATGTTATCTGTTTGATATGTTCATTCCTCCACACCATTGGTGCTATAATGAAAAAATCACCTGCTATAAGCAGGTCTTCAAAGAAGTTTTCCACCTGCCAGTACTCTCCCATCTATGCTGAATGCAGCATGTGTTTAGTGAGATTTTACTTTTCAAATATAAGAACTGCCCATTTAAAAAACTGGGCACAGTGGCTCACACCTGTAATCTCAGCACTGTGGGAGGCCGAGGCGGACAGATCACCTGAGGTTGACCAGCCTGGCCAACATGGTGAAACTCCTCCTCTACTAAAAATACAAAAATCAGTGGAGTGTGGTGGTGCGCACCTGTAATCCAAGCTACTTGGAAGGCTGAGGCAGAAGAATCACTTGAACCCTGGAGGCGGAGGTTGCAGTGAGCCAAGATTGTGCCATTGCACTTCAGCCTGGGTGACAGAGCAAGACTCCATCTCCAATAAAAAAAAAAAATTAACATTCACAGAATTACCTCTAAGAACTTAAAACTAGTAATCCATATTTCATTTGAATAAGGCATTTTGTTTCACAATACTGTGTAATTTGATAGTACTTCTAGAGCTTCACTTATCTTTAATTAACTTAAAATGGAAGAAATAGCTGTTGGTTGCCTTCTGCATTTGGGGCACTACATTTGGAACAAGGGATGCAGAAGTGGATAAAGCAGACATGATTTCTGCCTTCATAGATATTTTATTATAATAAGTACACTGAATTTTGGTGGTTTTTTAATGCTTGCTTATGTTTTGCTTTATTATTATTATTATTATTTTTTAAAGCATGCCAGCTGGGCGCAGTGGCTAATGCCTGTAATCCCAGCACTTTGGGAGGCTGAGGTGGGCGGATCACCTGAGGTCGGGAGTTCGAGACCAGCCTGACCAACATGGAGAAAACCTATCTCTATTAAAAATACAAAATTAGCCAGGTGGGGTGGCACACACCTGTAATCCCAGCTACTCAGGAGGGTGAGGCAGGAGAATTGCTTGAATCCAGGAGGTGGAGGTTGCAGTGAGCCGAGATTGCACCATCACACTCCAGCCTGGGTACCAAGAATGAAAATCCATCTCCAAAAAAAAAAAAAAACAAAACAAAAACAAACAAACAAACAAAAAAAAAACATTCCTCTCCTCGTTTAAATGGAAAGCCATGAGGTCACAGACTATGTCTTGCTTGTCTTTGTGTCTCCGATGCCTGGCAAAGCTCCTGGCACATATTAAGGTCTCAATAAATACTTTTAAATTGAATTGCAATTCCAAATTTATAGCTGATGAAGATGAATGAATATCCTGTTACTTGACAGGAGTTCAAGCAACATTTTGAAAACTGCTGATGGCAGCTCAGTCTTTGTGTACAACACCAACTGTTTGGATTGTTCATAAAGCTGCACTAATGGGAAAAGGCAGTCTTAGGACCCAGATCACCAATTGTTGTCTTCATTTTCTTACTTCTCCCATTCCTATTTTTATGCCATAATGTGATTTTTATGACATGTTTATCATTGATTTTAAAATACAAATTATAGAAAACATGAATATGTGCAAAGTATAAGATGACTCATTTTTGTCTCATAACCTAGAAATAACCACTGTTACAATTTGTTTATTTATTCTTCTACTCTTCTATGCCTATAGTTATCTTCAATATATTCTTTTATGTACTGGAATTACACTCTGCAGGAAGTTATATAACCTGTCTCTTTCATAAGATATTTATTGAAAATATTGACACATATTGTTACATTTTCAAGTATGGCTGTGCGCTGTGGCTCATGCCTGTAATCCCAGCATTTTGGGAGGCCGTGCTGGTTGGATCACTTGAGGCCAGCAGTTCAAGACCAGCCTGGCCAACATGGTGAAGCCCCCAACTCTACTAAAATTACAAAAATTAGCCAGGCATGGTGGTGCATGTTTGTAATCCCAGCTGCTCAGGAGGCTGTGGCATGAGAATCACTTGAACCCAGGAGGCAGAGGTTGCAGTAAAGTGAGATCATGCCACCGTACTCCAGCCCAAGCAACAGAGTGGGGTTCTACCTCAGAAAAAACAAACAAAATAAACAAATAAATATTCAAGTATGACTTAATGGCCTTAATGGGTATATGAGTAGTATTTATTTTACACTTACTCATTCACTATATATTTACTGCTATCCAGATACTGTGGAAATTCATTCACTGTATATTTACTGCTTTCCAGATACGGTGGCAGACTTTAGAGCTACAAAGATAATAAGGCACAGACTTACTGTTTACTTAAAATTGTAAATAAATAAGTTGTAATTGTTTTAACTTAAGTTCAGGGGTACATGTGAAAGTTTGTTATATAGGTGAACTTATGTCATGAAGGTTTGTTATACAGATTATTTTGTCACCCAGGTATTCAGCCTAGTGCCCATTAGTTATTTTTCCTGATTGTCTCTCTTCTCCAACCCTCCACCCATATGCACACGTATGTTCACTGTGGCACTATTCACAATAACAAAGACATGGAATCAACCTAAATGCCTATCAATGGTAGACTGGGTGAAGAAAATATGGAACACGTATGCCATGGAATACTATGCAGCCATATAAAAGAATGAGGTCATGTCCTTTGCAGGAACACTGATGGAGCTGGAGGCCATTATCCTTAACAAACTAACACAGAAACAGAAAACCAAATACTGCATGTTCTCACTTATAGGTAGGAGTAAATGATGAGAACACATGGACACACAGAGGGAAACAACAACAGACAGTGGGAGAATTTATAATTGTATAACTTTATGAGATGTAGAATCATTTATATAAAGTGGAATAATTAAATCAACTAGTTAACACGTCCATCACCTCAAATACTTGCTATTTTATTTTTCTTTTCTTCCACAGGTGTTGATCAAATACTTGTTCTTAAAGGTTATTTTATGATCTTTGCTTATTTTCTCTCCACTGCATTGCATTATCCATTATGAATGTATTGCTTTTCTTAATATTAATTCATTTTGTTAACATTATTTATAGAATATAGCTTATGTGCTAATTTCTACTCTTTCAGTGCATTTTTTCATTCAAAAATAGGTATTGAGTATCCAATATATGGCACTCTCTATTTTAGGCAATGGTAAGATATCAGTAATTAATTAAATAAGTAATTAATTAAATAATTATTCTCTTGGAAGATAACAATGAATAAGACTGTTAATGTTTTTGTCCTCATAAAGTTTATTTACTAGTGGTGGACAGAGACATTAAACAGGATAGAGAATGTAGATAGTGTGTTTAGATGTAAGTGGTATGGGAAAAAATGAAGCAGGGTTGGGAGAATATAAGGTTGTGGAGAGAAATGGTAATATACAAGGCAACCAGGGCTGACTTTAGATATAAGGTAGCTGCTCAGCTGTGACCTGAATGATGTGAAAGGTCAAGTGCTTCAAATAAATGGGGAAGGAATTTCAGGTATAGGGAACAGTAAGTACCATAGCCATGAGGCAGGATTATATGCCTTGTTCGTTGGAGAAACACTGAGGAGGCCCATGTGCCTACAGGGGAGAATATGGTAGGGAGAACAATAGGGGAGGAGATTGGATAGGTATCAAAGGATCACAGGGTCTTAGAGCCGAAGGTAGATAGAATGGTGTCAGAAACTTCTAGAGTTCTTTGCTAGGTGTCTTTTATTTTCTTGGTGAAACAGAAATTAAAGTCATCATTTTAAAGTGGAGAGCAGAAGAAAAGGTTTTGGAGACTTAGGAAAAGATGCAGGAAGAAACTAGGCTTTGAAGACAGAAGGATCTTGAATGGATGACTAGGGCTGTGTTGAGGGCTGCAGAAAAGCACTAAGATCTCATCTTGGAGGTTCAGCTCCATGTCACAGATCACTTCTTCAGTGGAGCTTTTGTCCCTGCCCTTGTCACTATTCATTGGTTCTTCCTATGTCACCCCACAGTTCTTTGTGCATCACTCATTCACAGCACTTCACACACGTTATTGTCCTTAGTCACTTACATGATTTTTCTTTAGATATAATGTAAGCTCTTCAGAGGTGCAGGCATACTCTATTCACCAGAGCAACCATGGCAGTTTTGAGCCCACAGTAATAATAAATCTCTGTGGAATGACTGTGTTTGATGAATGAATGTTTTGAATGACTTATGCTTATTTCACGTGTTAAGGCTCTCCAAATCCAACACAAACCATGGATACTAAGTTTTATTACCCAGCTTCATTAGGAAAATTTTGATATTTTGTAGAATGATTTTTTAAAATCTAGAATTATACATTTTATAAGCAGCAGCTTTTTTCATGCTTCCAAAAAAAAAGAAGTATTTATGGTGTCAACACATAGAAAAAGCCATGAATGTAAGTGAAACTTAAGGACATTAAGTTATTCATTTGGATTTTGTCTGTATAGTTCAAGATATAGAAGAAAAATAACTTTTATCTCACATGCCAACTCCAGATGGTTGATAGTGACTACATGTTTAGAAGGATTGTAAAGCCCCATTGGCTTCAACATAGAAAAGCGGCATCATCAGTTAGGGATACCTACTCTGTGTGTAGCATTGATGGATGGTGGCATGCCTGCTGTGAAATGCCAAATATGGCTTAAAGTCTTGTCTAGTTTTTGTGAAATCCAAGACAATGTTTTATTTTTCAATTACTTAGTTATTCAATACTATTTATTGAAAACTTTTCTGCTTAGCACACTATATTTTGAGAAGACATTGATAAATGGGTCAGAATGCTTCATGTCATCTTATAGTTTGTGGATGAGAAGTTAATAAATATAATTATAATACAATATGAGTGGACTTTTAAGGGATCTTTAGGGTGCACTAGGGACACATATAATAAAGCACCTGAATCTAAATTGTGAGAGACAAAGTATTTACGTGAACAAGTAACTTCTGATATTTCAGTTTGAGGAAATGAAAAAAAGCCAGTGAGGCTGGAGTTAGAAGCAAGGAGAGTAGTGAGAAACAATACTTCGGAAATAAGTAAGGTCCAGGTTATAACAGTCTTAAAAACAGGTTAATAAAATTAGACTTTCTTCTAAGAGCACTGGAGAACCTTTGAAGAGTTTTAATAAGGAGAATGACAAAATTAATTATACATGTTGAAATTACCATTCTACTTACATTACGCAAGGTGAATTGTCAGGAGCCAGATCTGGTGATAGGAGGACAAGTAAGCAAGTGTTGCAATGATCAGATAAGAGGTGATGGTGACCTAGAATGAAGTAATGTCAAGGAAGATAAAAATAAGTGAATGCAATTGCAGGGTATTTAGCAAATGAAATCAACAAGACTTAGTGCATGATTAGAAGTTAACAATAAAAAAAGAAGATACACAAACACATCATTTAATGTTTAGCTATCTAAATGAATTAAAAGAACATCAATTGAGAGAGAGGAAATGAAAAGCAGGTTTGAAGGAGACGGATTATGATTTCAATTTTGCAGGATGAATTTTTGGTGTTTGTAGAACATTTAAGATGAGACGGTCTCTAGGCCATTAGATATATGGGTTTGTAGCTCAAAAGCAAGGTATAGATGGGAAGTATATATTTCAGAGTCATAATCATAAACAGTAATTAAAATTATGTATAATGATGAGATGATCCAAGGTAAGGACATAGAATGAAATAAAAATTGATTTTTTTGGTAGACATCTGCCTGGTTTCACTAGCCCCACTGAAGTTCCTGATTCTAAAATAGTTCTCTTATGAATTGCTTTTAAATTTCAAGCCTATGGTTTCTCCTTGGCCTTTGGTCTCTGGCTGCTTTCTTACATCTGGTCCTATTCTTATGTCCATTCATTATCAGCAAGCTTCTGCATTTCCTGCTTCACTTATAGTTCTTAGGCTACCAAGACAAACGATATTGGTGCTGTCATCTAGTATTTTTAATGAACTATTAGAGTGACCAGCAATGGAAGATTAGTGCACTCTAATAGTGAACTATTAGAGTGACCAGCAACGGAAGATTAGTCTCTTTCAGAGACTTGATTTGGCCCTCGAATTTTCTGGTAACTCTTAGGCTACAGTCCCAGCAAAACTGCTCACGCCAAGGGCAAGAGGTCCTTCATTATCAAATATTTTAGGCATTCTTAATCAATGAATGTATTGACCTATTCTCATTCAATATTTATTAGTGTTGACCATTCTCACCAACTTGAAACAACTCCTTTCCTTAATTTTGTGCTGCCACATACACCACAATTTACTACTATGTCCCCAGATACTCATCAATTCCTTTATGGTTTCCTCTTCCCTTGCCTGGAACTTAAGTTGATGTTACTCAGGGTGTTTTACAAAATTCATTTTTCTGTAATTCTGTATTATTTCTTTGAGTCATCTTATCAATTTGCATATTCGCTTCTCTTTCATTGCTAATCTTTGGTCATGTCCCAAGTTCTGTTGATTTTCCCTAATAAAATACTACTTAGTTCCATTCGTTTTTCTTGACATTATCTCATTCTAGCCACCACCACATCTTGTCTTATCATTGTAACATCAGCTAGATTATCTGCCATCTGCAGTGTATTTGTGATGCTATTCTATCAGCTGGTGACAGGGCTGCTGTGGCACCAAGCATCATATCTACAAATAATGAAAGAAAGTGATGGGGGAAAAGTATCTCCTCTCTATGGCTCTCTTTTTTCATTGGGAGATTTTTTTTTTTTTCTCCAGAAGCCTCTAGATGGTTAGCTCTTCTATACTGGTTAGAATTAGGTTTCACTCCCTCTCATCACAGAAAGAAAGGAATAGAATTCCCACAATTGTCCAATCAATATAATTTATCCTATGAAGGTGGGCATAGATTACTTTTTAAAATATCAGGAGTTGGTTACTAATGAAGATGACAAAATTAACTGTAGGACAAGCCACCAACAGCTTCTGTCATGTTGAATAACAGAGAAGCTCAGTTCATGTCAGAGGCTTTGGTGTTATGTATAATGTATTAGCATATCAAATATTTATACTTCAGCCACTGAGTTTTGCTGTGACTCCTGTTGAAACACTATACAATTCTAATCCATCAGTTGGGAACAGGTCACTAAAACTAACTGAATGATATAATGAGAGTATGAGAAAATAAATTTCTATATTAGGTCTGTAAGGCATTGAGAACAGAAGCTCCTAACTTCATATATACTTCATTAAAATGGTTACATTCTTTTTGCTCCAATTTAATAATATATTAATTAATGAGTAAATAAATTTCAAAAAATAATTTGGGGGCTTTCCAATTGCTAGTTATATTCTATTTTATATTTTCTCAGAGAGATGATTTTATTAATAAGATGCATCACAAAAACAGCTCAGAAGTGTATTATGAGTAATTATATCTCGAGACAACTTGCACTCTGGCATACACAGTCTCTTGCTGCATTAAAGCCCCTTAGCAAAGGATTTCAATGTAATATTAATTTCATTTTATTAAGCGCTGGTAGATGTCAAAGAGATTATAGCCAACACTCTTCTTGTTAAATAATAAGTCATATTAAGTTGTGGATAAAGCATGTTTTAACAAGACTATACAATATTATTATTATCATTTATCGTGTCCCAGGAAGCTCTCAGCCTGTAGGAAATTAGCTTTAATATCACATTACAACTCCTATACATCCTGCTTTAATGGGTTTCCACACAAGAGCAGCCTGTTTTCACTCCTTCAGGATGGCTTAAGGAGTCTGACTGCTCCTGCTGGGCTGGTGTCTATGAAGTGTGAAGTTTTTAATCTGATCTCTGTTCAGCCTCAAGCATTTAATTTGCAGTTTAGGAATTAGTAGGGGTCTGCTATGCAGTTCAACAAGGGTAAAAGCTGTGAAGATTTGCCAATACATATTGAAGAAACCTGAGTGAGAAAGAGCAAGCAAATGCACTGGAAGAGACTGCACTGAGGTCTGAAGAACTGAGTCAGCTTCACATTTTCAGAATTTGAACTCTTCCTGCACTGCCCAGAGACACCACCATACTCTCTTCATGGATGATTGTCAGGTGGGGAATAAATGCAAAGACACATTAATTTTCTACAACTCAGGAAAATAAATTCAAGCAAACAAAAAAGCAACTAGACAAAACATAAGCGATTGAAATAAAACCCAAACAATAACAACAGCAAACTGGAGGAAAAACCACCTAAGTATTTGCCCAAGGATTACAGTTGTGAAGTTTGTCATTAAAGAATGAATACACCTTAGTAATTGTTGCCAGCCCTTACTTTCCGATGCAGCAAGAAAAGTCAAGTCATCCACCCCAATATCTCCACCAACACATCGTACTAATTTTATCCATAACCCTCTACCTAATCTCTCCCTCCACCTCTGACAGATCTAATTTCTACTCACCACCGTAATTCAGACTAAGTACTTACATAATTACCTCTCCTTAGGAGTTTTTCTGACTATTCCAAAACCATACCACCTCATGCTGTGCACATTTATCATTTATTATAATGATAAAGATATATGCATATATCTTATATATGTATTACATGTATATATTACAATGTAGGTATATATATAAAATCTATGTACATAATGCTATATGTACATTATATGTATGTATTATGATGTATGTATATATAAGCAATGTATATATCTCATATCTATATATTATATATTATATAATGCATATATTACAAATATATACATATCATATATAATATATGCATATCTTATATATGTATGCTATATATGACATATATGTATACATTTATAATATATACATATATAAGATATGCATATATCTTACATATTTGTTATATGTATATATTACAATGCATATATAATCTATGCATATTTATGTTCTGCATTATATATGCATGCATTATGCCATAGATAATATCTATATAGACATATATAATATGTATAATATAAGTTATATATCAATATTCCATAGACATGTGTAATACTATATAATATATAACATTTTTATAATTATGTATAATTTATACATTTAGTTGCAATATAAATATATCACATGTTTCACATATATAATATATATTAATTTATATTTACATAAGTCTATTTTCCTTTACAGTTCAGATTTTTATTTGATTTATGATTCTGTTTCTCATGGTTTTAATAAAAGTTATGTAATTTTGAATGCATTATAATCCTTCAAGAAATAAGTGAATTTAATTATAATACCTAGATGGTTGGATGGATAGATGAATAGATAAAAGGATATTTGAATGAGCTGTCTATTTGAAAGAATTTCATTTTTTCTGGCATCCAGTAAAATGTACAGATTGACTTACAACTGGATGTTCGCTTTACCCAACACAGAATGCTATGAGTGGAATCCCTGGAGACTCTTCCCTGCTGAAGACACCATAGGACATAAACTGTTTATCTCAGAAATGAATTTCTCTGGCCTGTTTTTTTGGAGTGCCAGTAATCCTCAGGCATTTCAAAAATACTGACCAATAATGAAAGACCGACCATTGGATTCTTACTCAGAAGATAGAAAAGAAACCCCATTCCAATTCATTGTTTTTTTAAAAAAGAAAAGGCACCCACTATTCCCCAGTCAGTTTGCACATAATGAAAATGTCTCCCAGTCACATCAGAGTCAATTACAACTCATAACCCCTAAGTTCATTTTTCACCCCGTTGCTGTCTGGTTCATTTTTCACTTTGCCTTAGTCTTTTGACAAGTCTTATAAAAGAAAGGGTGAGAGAATAGCTCTGGGGTCAAAGCCTGCCTCTCTCTCTCTGGAGCACACCATGTCATGTAGGCAGTGAGAAATGACCCTATTATTGCTTCCAAGAACTAAGAATGGCCAAGTCTTTCCAACAGGGCTATTTTCCCTGAACAGGTCACTATCACATATGGATAGCATCTACTCAGCCTGTCCATGTGCAAAGTTACAGTCACATCATCCAGTAGAGAATAAATAAGAATAGCTAGCTTTGTGTGGTTGATAATGCTTCCACAATTTAGTCATTTATAATTTGTCATTATAATTTGTTAACTAATTGAGGAACCACAGCTTCATTTGTGAGGAATCTGTCTATATTGGTGCTTTCCAGATATGCTTCCTGTATTCTTATATTAACTTTTAATACCAAATAGAGTAGGATAAGGTAACCAACCACCACAGGGATTATCTGGGTTGTTTCTAGAGTGCTCCAGGTCTGTTTGCTGAAGAGCATCCTTATTTTCCCTTGATAGGATAGATAACCCAACAATGTAATAACTTTTTGTGTTATCTGTTTACTCACTGACAAGAGAAGCAAAACATGGCCAAAACCTAGTTGCCAATGTAATTGAACCTGTGTCCGGAATAGTATTGTGTCCTCTGATGGAAGCATTTTTACTGTGAACATTAAAGTTTCTGACTCTATAGAGTCCAGAGTCATAGTCTGAAAGCTAAAATGTCACCAGCAGGTAATTAGGAGTAATTATAAATGGAGCAACCTCTATTTCTGTTCCTTGGTTTCTAAATCTATGTATCTATCCAGGAATGCATGCTATACATCCTATACCATAACACCTCAACATGATAAAAACATTCCCTCTAAGCTGAAGCCTACATGAGCTTTTCTTGCCATTTTGCCATTCTGCAAGTCTATCTTCTTCAGTGATGAAATACACAATAAGACCAATGATCTCTATAAATATCATTGCTTCATCATTCTTTCCTTGAAAAGTGAGTATATGTTGAATAAGTTAACAAAATGATATGTAGGTCATTCAAAAAGTTTTCAGGTAACGTTTTAGGCAAATAAGTATGGGCTAGAAGAAGCAAATACCACCTGGGATATTTTTCAAGTTAGGATAAATTACTGTTTTCCACCTGATGAATGGTGGTTCACTGCAATCAACCTGTTGCAATGTGGATTCTTTCTTCAACTGTCATATTATCATTTGGAGGCCAAAAGTTGGTTGCTGCTGCTTCTAAGATTGCCAGTGGCAAGAGATAAGTCAACCTTGTGAAAGGAAGTTCTTATTACTAAACCTATGTATAGTTTTCATGACTATTTAATTCACAAGCCTATTGAGAAATTCCTGGAGAAGTGGTGAAGGAATCTGACTGTTACCTTGCCTACCTTTTCTTAACCTTTTCTCACAGGAAAGGTAGTGAGTAAACATTCATCTGGGAAACCACTATCAAATTCTGGGACCATCTTAAGAGATCAGTTTATATAAGTCTTCTGCAGGTGTCTTTGCCTGAGTGAATTCTAGCTCCATCCAAGTCCTTGACCATGCAGTCAAATTATTATTTCACCATTTGTAAATCATTGGCAGTTTTCCTTGCCCACATTTTCTCAGTGTCCACTTCTGATTCAGCTTGGAATGTGTTAGCAATCAACTTCCATTGGATGTCAATTTATCATGCCGATCTATATCTAAAATGCTCTTGTTATGGTTTTGCTTTTGCTTTTTTTTTCTGCTTAGACAACTACTGGTCATAGGTAACTCCTTATGAGGCTACAGTTACAGATTAAAGGAGAGGTGACATTGAATGAGAAGTAGCCCATTAAACATATGTACAATCCTGTGCCTTTAGTACCCTTTTGATTTAGATCTATCACTTTCATCTGATCTCACATGATTATGAAAGGTTGCTAGGCACGCCCATCCTCATACAACAATGGAATAAATAAATATTTTACTATGGACAGTTTGGGATGCAGAGTCATTGGTGCTTTAAAATTATGCATTTATTCTCTCTTAGCCATAGGTAGGATAGAAAAACTCTTCCTTAAATGATGGGAAGTTAATTACAGAAGATGGTATCGTTTTGCTTTAAAACCTCCATTGGGGCTCCGCAGAGGTTTTAAGATATTATATGATGGAGGATGTTATATGATGGATGCCTGATCATGTCACAAGTATAATATAACATCTTCATCTTTCCAAGATATTCAAAGTACTCCTGGGGCTATTCATCCGTAAGGACCAAGGTGGCACTGCTGCTTATACTTTTACCTACTGGAATAGATTCCCTTTTTATCCCCTACTCTTTCCCCCTTCAAACTGGAAGACTTTTCAGGTCATCTGGGAAATGGGCCAGAGTGGCCCACCAAAATGTGGTTTATTTTGCTCTCGATACTCAAGGATACACACCAAGCACTGACTGTATTTTTGTGTTTGTTCGTTTGGGGGTTAAGCAATGTTCTAGAATTTGCAGGTGATATCCCGACATGTACCAGATTATTAGGTCCACTAAAACTTCATGGAGGTGGCATATATCTAAAGGAGGTTTATCTCTAAACTTATTAAGTGCACATGTCATACTGAGCCATCTGTGATACCACTACTTTCTGCTTTCTAGGTCCTATGAACAGGATATCATCATTACAGTCAATTCACATAATGTCCTGTGGGTTAATTAGATACTCAAGGTTATTTTCAGACTAAGTTGTGATACAGAGCTAAAAAGACTACATAATCCTAATACATAACAGCAAAGGTGTACTTTTATTAGCCAAATAACTTTGGAATAATTTTTGTATTTTCAGTTTATTAGAATAAAATAAAAAAATAATATTCATCAGATCAATAGCAATGTCAAAATGTAAATGGCTATTTTGAATTTCTCAAATGAGGGGAGCATATTGGAACAGTCATGCTCTGGTAAGTATGAGAACTGTTAAGATGTTCTACTTAGGTTCTCCTTCAAATAGACTTGCTGCCCAGGTGTAAGCTGCCTGCCTCTGGCTAGTAGCACCTCCAGCTTCCATTTTCTCTCTGAAGCTGAGAGGTTACACTCCTCTTCTCAGGCTGGTCCCAGTAAATGTTTTACTAAAGTGGTGAGTTGCAACGTAGCCCAGACATTTTTGCCCAATGTAGGACTTCCCTAATGGGCCATCTTTGCCCTGGAGCTGCCTGTCAAGAGATTTGTCAGATCTGCATCATGGTTGTAGGAATTACCTTGCCCAACCCTGCTTCATCTTCCTTTCCTTTCACAGCTATTACAGCCCAATAAATCTTTTGTACTTCTAACTCTTCTGCTTCCAAAATAATCTAACCTATAACACTAAGCTTGCAATAATTTCCTGTTTTTTCCTCAAACTGTCTCTCCTCTGCTGTGTTTCCTGAGCTGGAGACTTAAAAGTTGTGTGTGTGTATGTTTTTTTATTTCTTTAATAGAAATTATTTTCTCTTTAAGTTTTTTGGTGGTGACACAAACTGACTTTTTTCAGGGATGAGATATTTGCTTCAGAGGTCTATTTTGGCAGAAAGGGTTGGCACCAGGAATCCTTCCTTAGCCTACCCTGCCATAATAATTTTCATTCTATGAGTTACAGCACTCTTTGGAGATGCTACAAGGTTCTGAGTCTACACCAATAACATTTTCAGGAGCTGTAAAGAAACAACAAGATTGTAGTGGTTGTTTTAAGTGTTTCTTTGCTTTACTCTCTGCATTGCCTATTTCTTCTTTTTTTTAACTTCTATTTTAGGTTCAGGGGTACCTGTGCAGGTTTGTTATATAGGTAAACTGCATGTCATGGGGATATAATGTGCAGATAATTTCTTCTGTGTCCTTTTTTGGTTTTTATTTGTTTTGAGCCTCTAGTGTTATAGGATCCTCTCAAATGTTTTGTGATACGTAGCACTCTCCTCCTATTTAAGACGAAACCACAAAAAGTTGACTAGTAATGTTTTATTTGTAGCCTGGGCTTGTCAAACTGTTCTCTTCAGGATAATCTTATTGAGTTGTTTCTTAGGAGGAGCATCTGTTTATTTCTACAGGTATTTTCTTTCAAGTTAGTCAGTTTACCTAAAGAAGAAACATCCATCCTCCTGCCTTAAAACTTTAAGCCTGGTTGCCAGCATTCTGGAAGCCTTAAGGGAAAAATAACTCAGTATTCTCATTTCTCATTTCTCATTTAGTTATGACAGCCCAGTCCTCAACTGTTCCTGATGCCACCAAGATCAGAGTCTCTCTGGCTCATCATCTATAAGGAATAACTCTCTAGTTTTCTTCTTAGGTGGGGAAGAAAAGATGAATGTCTAGTGAGTCTTCTATAATTTTTCAACTAATCATATGCTTTTCAGCGACTTTTCCAGCTTTGGTTTTCAGAGGTATTTTCCTTCCTCAATTCTTTATGCATTTTGCAGCTCTGTGGTGGTAATGCCCTCACTTTAGGAATTACCTATGCTAGTTTAGGTTTCATTGTTTTCTGGCCTTCTAAGTCAGTTACTATGCATTGGACATCTCTGTAGCTTCCAGGAAATTATTAGTGTCATCTTCTCTCGTTTTCTTTTTGCGCTTGCAGGTTATATTTTGATTCTTTCCAGCAGGGTTCAGATTATAAACATTAATGTCTAATTCACCATGTAAGTAGAAATGTTGTCTGCTTACTTCTATTACTCATATCAGAAATAAAGTTCCTTTTCCAAATCTCAAATTGTCCAAACCTAAGTATATTCTTGAACCCTAATGGCTGGAGTTCCCAGAGAGCAAATCAGGATGGGTTAGAAGAAAGCATTTTTCACCAACTGATACAACAACAGAAGCTTTAAATATCTGAAATTTCTGAAATTTCAAATGCTTTAGCAAAAGTGTGTATGTTTTGGGGGGTGGGTGTAGAGGGACATCTATTACACTGTGCCTGTGTTCCAATACTCCTCACACAGTGCAATGCCACGCACTCATGGAAGCCTGTGGTTAGTGAGTAGTTTCTTCCTCAGCTCAGTTCTCCATCAAAATGCACCCATTCAAAGCTTCAGTCTCTCAAAAACCTTGCCTTAGTAGGTATTATTAATTAAATATGATACTAATTTAAAAATGATAACAATTAGATTTTTATTCATCAGGGGATGGGATAATTTCTTTTTGTGAGGTTAACAAACATAGCATCAAAGAAGTGTCTCATTCTCAAATAAATTTGTCAGATTCTTTTAACATGTTATCATTAAGGTGGAAAATAAAAGGATATAACAAGAAATTATAGAAGAATAACTAAAAGAGGTTAATAGGGCTTGGCTGTGTCCCTACCCAAATCTCATCCTGCATTGTAGCTCACAGTATCCCCATAGTGTTATGGGAGGGACTCAGTGGGAGGTAATTAAATCATGGGGGCAGGTTTTTCCTGTGCTGTTCTCATGATTCTGAATATGTCTCACAAGATCTCACGGTTTTATAAAAGGCAGTTCCCCTACACATGCTGTCTTCCCTGCTGCTATGTAAGATGTGCCTTTGTTCCTCCTTCACCTTCCACCATGATTGTGAGGCCTCTGCAGCCATGTGGAACTGTGAGTCCATTAAACCTCTTTTTCTTTATAAATTACCCAGTCTTGGGTATTTCTTCATAGCAGTATGAAAATGGACTGATACAGAGATGTAAATGGTTTTAGCCTAAAACCCCAAGTTTATAATAATGTAACTCAGATCTACTATGGAAAATTGACTTGTATTGGGAAATGCAGCCAACTTTTGAAATTGTTAGACCAGACATACAGGACTTCTGAATTCAGAGAGGTGTTTCTGCCTTCTATTTAAAGGCTCTTTTGAATTTATGCTTCCTACCTTCAAGGAACTCATATATAAGATATATGTAAACTGCTGAAGGGTGATACCATTTTTGAAATGATGTGTGTATCTTTTCTAATATTTAGCAAATGAAAGTAAAAACATCAGTTTAGAAAATGGGTTTGGTTGGCTGACTCTCTTTTCGGACTCAGCCCGCCTGCACCCAGGTGAAATAAACAGCCATGTTGCTCACACAAAGCCTGTTTGGTGGTCTCTTCACACAGACGTGCATGAAATTTGGTGCCGTGACTCGGATCGGGGGACCTCCCTTGGGAGATCAATCCCCTGTCCTCCTGCTCTTTGCTCCATGAGAAAGATCCACCTACGATCTCAGGTCCTCAGTCCAACCAGCCCAGGAAACACCCCACCAATTTCGAATCCGGTAAGTGGCCTCTTTTTACTCTCTTCTCCAACCTCCCTCACTATCCCTCAACCTCTTTCTCCTTTCAATCTTGGCGCCACACTTCAGTCTCTCCCTTCTCTTAATTTCAATTCCTTTCATTTTCTGGTAGAGACAAAAGAAACATGTTTTATCCGTGAACCCAAAACTCCGGCGCCTGTCACGGACTGGGAAGGCAGCCTTCCCTTGGTGTTTAATCATTGCAGGGATGCCTCTCTGATTATACACTCATATTTCAAGGGTGTCAGACCACACAGGGACGCCCACCTTGGTCCTTCACCCTTAGCAGCAAGTCCCGCTTTCCTGGGGCAGGGGAAAGTACCCCTCAACCCCTTCTCCTTCAACCTCAGCAGCAAGTCCCACTTTCCTAGGGGGCAAGAAACCCCCAATCGCTTATTTCCGCACCCCAACCTCTTATCTCTGCACCCCAATCCCTTATTTCTGCACCCTGACCTCTTATCTCTGTGCCCCAATCCCTTATTTCCGTGTCCCAACCCCTTTTCTGCTTTTCTGGAGGGCAAGAACCCCCCCCCACCCCTTCTCCGTGTCTCTACTCTTTTTTCTGGGCTTGCCTCCTTCACTATGGGTAAGCTTCCACCTTCCATTCCTCCTTCTTCTCCTTTAGCCTGTGTTCTCAAAAACTTAAAACCTCTTCAACTCACACCTGACCTAAAACCAAAATGCCTTATTTTCTTCTGCAATGCCGCTTGACTCCAATACAAGCTCGACAGTAGTTCCAAATAGCCGGAAAATGGCACTTTCAATTTTTCCATCCTACAAGATCTAAATAATTCTTGTCGTAAAATGGGCAAATGGTCTGAGGTGCCTGAAGTCCAGGCATTCTTTTACACATCAGTCCCTTCCTAGTCTCTGTGCCCAGTGCAACTCGTCCCAAATCTTCCTTCTTTCCTCCCGCCTGTCCCCTCAGTCCCAACCCCAAGCGTCGCTGAGTCTTTCTAATCTTCCTTTTCTACAGACCCATCTGACCTCTCCCCTCGTCACCAGCCCAAGCTAGATCCCAATTCTTCCTCAGCCTCCACTCCTGCACCCTGTAATCTTTTTATCACCTCCCCTCCTCACACCTGGTCTGGCTTACAGTTTCGTTCTGTGACTAGCCCTCCCCCACCTGCCCAGCAATTTACTCTTAAAAAGGTGGCTGGAGCCAAAGGCATAGTCAAGGTTAATGCTCCTTTTTCTTTATCCCAAATCAGATAGTGTTTAGGCTCTTTTTCATCAAATATAAAAATCCAGCCCAGTTCATGACTTGTTTGGCAGCAACCCTGAGACACTTTACAGCCCTAGACCCTAAAAAGTCAAAAGACCATCTTATTCTCAAAATATATTTTATTATCCAATCTGCTCCCGACATTAAATAAAACTCCAAAAATTAAATTCCGGCCCTAAACCCCACAACAGGATTTAATTAACCTCGCCTTCAAGGTGTACAATAATAGAAAAAAGTTGCAATTCCTTGCCTCCACTGTGAGACAAACCCCAGCCACATCTCCAGCACACAAGAATTTCCAAATGCCTGAACCACAGCGGCCAGGCATTCCTCCAGAACCTCCTCCCACAGGAGCTTGCTACACATGCCGGAAATCTGGCCACTGGGCCAAGGAATGCCCACTGCCCGGGATTCCTCCTAAGCCGCGTCCCATCTGTGTGGGACCCCACTGAAAATCGGACTGTTCAACTCACCTGGCAGCCACTCCCAGAGCCCCTGGAACTCTGGCCCAAGACTCTCTGGCTGACTCCTTCCCAGATCTTCTCGGCTTAGCGGCTGAAGACTGACACTGCCCGATCACCTCGGAAGCCCCGTAGACCATCACAGATGCCAAGCTTTGGGTAACTCTCACAGTGGAAGGTAAGTCCGTCCCCTTCTTAATCAATATGGAGGCTACCCACTCCACATTACCTTCTTTTCAAGGGCCTGTTTCCCTTGCCTCCATAACTGTTGTGGGTATTGACGGCCAAGCTTCAAAACCCCTGAAAACTCCCCCACTCTGGTGCCAACTTGAACAACACTCTTTTATGCACTCTTTTTTAGTTATCCCAACCTGCCCAGTTCCCTTATTAGGCCGAGATATTTTAACCAAATTATCTGCTTCCCTGACTATTCCTGGACTACAGCCGCATCTCATTGCCGCCCTTCTCCCCAACCCAAAGCTTCCTACGCATCTTCCTCTCGTATCCCCCCACCTTAACCCACAAGTATGGGACATCTCTACTCCTTCCCTGGCAACTGATCACATGCCCATTACCATCCCATTAAAACCTAATCACCCTTACCCCGCTCAACGCCAATATCCCATCCCACAGCATGCTTTAAAACGATTAAAGCCTGTTATCACTCACCTGCTATAGCATGGGCTTCTAAAACCTATAAACTCTCCTTACAATTCCCCCATTTTACCTGTCCAAAAACCGGATAAGTCTTACAGATTAGTTCAGGATCTGCGTCTTATCAACCAAATTGTTTTGCCTATCCACCCTGTGGTGCCCAACCCTTACACTCTTTTGTCCTCAATACGTTCCTCCACAACTCACTATTCTGTTCTCCATCTTAAAGATGCTTTTTTCACTATTCCCCTGCACCACTCGTCCCAGCCTCTCTTTGCTTTCACTTAGACTGACCCTGACACCCATTAGGCTCAGCAAATTACCAAGGCTGTACTGCCGCAAAGCTTCACAGACAGCCCCCATTACTTCAATCAAGCCCAAATTTCTTCCTCATCTGTTACCTATCTTGGCATAATTCTCATAAAAACACACGTGCTTTCCCTGCCAATCGTGTCCGACTGATCTCTCAAACCCCAGCACCTTCTACAAAACAATAACTCCTTTCCTTCCTAGGCATGGTTAGCGTGGTCGGAATTCTTACACAAGAGCCAGGACCACACCCTGTAGCCTTTCTGTCCAAACAACTTGACCTTACTGTTTTAGCCTAGCCCTCATGTCTGCGTGCAGCAGCTGCTGCTGCTTTAATACTTTTAGAGGCCCTCAAAATCACAAACTTTATCAGTCCTCCAGGCCCAAGTTGACTCTTTAGCTGCAGTTGTCCTCCAAAACCGCCGAGGCCTTGACTTACTTACTGCCGAAAAAGGAGGACTCTGCATATTCTTAAATGAGGAGTGTTGTTTTTACCTAAATCAATCTGGCCTGGTGTATGACAACATAAAAAAACTCAAGGATAGAGCCCAAAAACTTGCCAACCAAGAAAGTAATTATGCTGAACCCCCTTGGGCACTCTCTAATTGGATGTCCTGGGTCCTCCCAATTCTTAGTCCTTTAATACCTATTTTTCTTCTCCTTTTATTCGGACCTTGTATCTTCCGTTTAGCTTCTCAATTCATCGAAAACCGTATCCAGGCCATCACCAATCATTCTATACGACAAATGTTTCTTCTAACATCCCCACAATATCACCCCTTACCACAAGACCTCCCTTCAGCTTAATCTCTCCCACTCTAGGTTCCCACGCCGCCCCTAATCCCACTTGAAGCAGCCCTGAGAAACATCGCCCTTTCTCTCTCCATACCACCCCCCAGAAATTTTCGCCGCTCCAACACTTCAACACTATTTTGTTTTATTTGTCTTATTAATATAAGAAGGCAGGAATGTCAGGCCTCTGAGCCCAGGCCAGGCCATCGCATCCCCTGTGACTTGCACGTATACATCCAGATGGCCTGAAGTAACTGCAGATCCACAAAAGAAGTAAAAACAGCCTTAACTGATGACATTCCACCATTGTGATTTGTTCCTGCCCCACCCTAACTGATCAATGTACTTTGTAATCTCCCCCACCCTTAAGAAAGTACTTTGTAGTCTTCCCCACCCTTAAGAAGTTTCTTTGTAATTCTCCCCACTCTTGAGAATGTACTTTGTGAGATCCTCCCCTGCCCACCAGAGAACAACACCCTTTGACTGTAATTTTCCATTACCTTCCCAAATCCTATAAAACGGCCCCACCCCTATCTCCTTTTGCTGACTCTTTTCGGACTCAGCCCGCCTGCACCCAGGTGAAATAAACAGCCATGTTGCACACACACACACACACACACACACACACACACACACACACACACAAAAAAAGAAAATGGGTTTGGTTTCAGAAGGAAATAATGCTGGTCACATTTAGATTCCACCAACAAATACCTAATAACAATGGACAAGTCATTTAATCTCCTTAAACACAAATGTTCTTGTCTGTAAAATAAAAATAAAACCAATTTTGTGAGTTTCTTATTAAGACCACATGGAATAATGTATAATATCTATGTAGAAATAACTACACATAATGATTATTTATTAAATTTTATATTTCTCAACAGTACTATTTTTATTACTAGTGTTATTTATGAAATAATGAAATAGTGCAAGTCATACTATAACAAAATATTTTATTGGTAGGCCTAGAGAATAAATCAGTCTCTATTACCCACACCCATAATAACGCCTTAATAATTCTAAGATTTATTTCACAGCTAAGCTTCTTGATAAAGAATGGATATATAATCTACATTTCTGTACTTTGCATTACTTTCAACCAGCTCCAGTGAGCTCTTACCTCTATTGTTCCCCCAAAAGCATGTTTGCTAAGGTCTTCAATGACCTCCCTGTTGGCAAACCCAGTAGAAATATTTTTCTTGCCATCTTACTTGATTTTTAGCAGCATTGAACACAGCTAGATCCTTCTTGTCTTTCTCTGTGTTTTTTATTTCTTTTTTCTTACTCCAACCCCAGCTGAAAGCAGTATTGCAATGATGTGCAGTTCAGGAGCAGAATGGAGGCCTGGCATAGTGGTTTGTAATCCTAGCATGTGGCACACTTGTAATCTCAGCCCTTTGGGAGCCTGAGGCATGAGGATAGTGTGAGGCCAGGAGTTTGACACCAACCTCAGCAACATACAGAAACTCTATCTCCACAAAAAAATAAAAAATAGCCAGGCACAGTGGCTTATGCTTGTAGTCTCAACTACTCAAGAGGCTGAGGTGGGAGGATTGCTTGAACCAAGGAGTTTGAGGCTGCAGTTAGTTATCAGCTTGCCACTGCACTCCAGTCTGGGTGACAGGACAAGACTTTGTCTCTAAAATATAAAATAAATTTAAATTTAAAAAGAGAGAGGATGAGGTTACTAAAAAAAGAAAGCTAGCATTCAAGATAAAATAGATTTAGATTCATATTTATCTACATCATCATTTGACAAAAAATTATTCATGATCTACCATGTACCAGACACTGTTCTAGCCACCCAGAGGTTTGTCCTTAGCCTCTTCTTTTCCCATACTACATCCCAGGAGATACCATTCATTTTAAAGGCTACAATTCTGAAATCCATATGTCCAGCCTTACCTGCTTTCTGAGCTTCTAACTCACGTGTCTATCTGGTTCCTGGACATCCTCATTTGGAAATTTTATAATTCAACTCAAAGTCAGCCTGTTGAAAAACAAATCATCATTTGTAAAACCATCGTCAGTCTGAATCTGCTTTTCTTCTGATTCCCTATCTTAGGGAATTTATGGCATCAGCAACCTCCCAGGAACTCAGGGCAAACATCTGGGAATTTTCTTTGACTTGTCTTCCTGGGAATCAGTTCAATGCAGCAAAAAGTTTAGTCTATTCTATTACCTTAGAGCATCTAAAATTTGGCAACTGCATTCACCTATTTATTCATACTGCATTTGTTCAATCCCTTTTTGGACCAGAACCTGTCCTAGATTCTAATATGTGAGGTGGTAGATATGTTAATTGGGTTGATTGTTGAAATCATTATGCAAGGTATACATATATCAAACATCAAGCTGTATACCATGTATTTTATACACACACATACACAAGCACACACATGTATATATACACACACATATATATACACACACACATATATACACACACATAATATATACACACACAATGTTTTCTTTATCAGTCATACCTCAATAAAGCCACAGATTAAAAAATAAATCGATAACTTCTCAAACTATTTGTGGTAAAGGATCTTGTTTCTTTTTCAAAATTTTTAATCAGTCATGGGTAGATTCTTTTGAAAACTACAATGAAAATCAATTACCAAACTAATAAAATGAAAAGGGACATACAAAATACAAGTTTAAATCTTTCATTATTAGACTCAGTAAATATAAAATTCCTCATCAAATTGTTATAAAAGGTTTAAAATGCTTCTCTCAATCTGTATGTATTATGTTGCAGACTGATAAAGTTTGTAAATTGGTGTCATCCATGGACTACACTTTGAATGGTACTGAGGAGAAAGAGCCTGATTTCTTTTCATTTTTTAAAACTATAGGTTAAACAACAATAAAATACCATTGTACACCTATTAAAATGGCCAAAATATGAAACACTCAGAACAACAAATGAATGAGTCACAGGAACTCTCATTCATTGCTGGTGGGAAAGAAAAATGGTACGGCCACTTTGAAAGACAGCTTGCCAGTTTTTTAATAAGCTAAACATATTCTTACCATGTGATCCAGCAACCATGCTCCTTGATATTTACCCAAAGGGGATGAAACCTCATGTCCACACAAAAACTTGTACATAGATGTTTATAGCAGCTTTATTCATAATTGCCAAATCTTGGAAGCAACCAAGATATCCTTCTGTAGGTGAATAGATAAATAAATTCTGGTACATCAGGAATACAGACAATGAAATATTATTCAGCACCAAAAAGAAATGAACCATGAAGCCATGAAAAAGTAACATAAAAAAGAAAACTTTAAAGTTATATTAATAAGTAAAAGAAGCTAATCTAAAAAGGGTACCTATGGTATGATTTCAACCATATGACATTCTGGGTAAGATAAAACTACTATAGTAAAAAAATCAGTGGTTGCCACTGTGTATGATACTACTATGACAGATTCATGTCATTACTCATTTGTCTAAACCCATACAATGTACAATACCAAGAATGAACTCTAACGTGAACTATGGACGTTGAGTGATTATCATATGTCAATGTAAGCGTACCCACTGTAACAAGTATGATATTCTGTTAGAAGATATTGATAACTGGGGAAGCAATTCATATGTAGGGGAAGAGAGTATATGGGAAATCTCTGTAACTTCGCTCCATTTTGCTGTGATCCTAAACCTGTTCTAAGGAAATAAAGTGTGTGTGTGTGTGTGTGTGTGTGTGTGTGTGTTGCCATGAATTAATGCTTAAACTGAGAAATCAAATAGTAGATGAGCATATAAATAGAAAAATCAGGATTCCTGTTTTCCCTATTCTCAAGTGTCTTTCAAGAGTTTGTGTATTATTTGTGTTACTTCAGAATTTTCCATATATTTTCAAGCATATTTATTTCTATATAAAAAGATGAGATTGTAGAATGCATATTCTTCTATAATTTGCTTTTTTATTTAATTAAACATTTTGATAACAGCTTTATAAAGACATAAAGATCTTCTTTCTTTTAAAATGCTGGACAATATTAGACTGACCCGCAGAAAATTGCCAATATTCAATTGCTTTTCACCTACAAAATGGCTATTTCAAATGGTTCAATGTTATATTTTATTATGTGACCACACTATGATTGGCTTGGACAATCCTATACTGATGGATATTTTGGTTGATTTCAGTATTTTATGTGTAACATCTTTACAAACTTTGAATTAATACCACTTCTGTCACATTCCTGGGCATGATAAAGAGAACAGTTTTTTTCTAAATGTTTACATTTTTATCAGAAACTAGAAACACAAATAGAATGGATTTAAATATGTACATAAGCATATATATATATGCTTAGGTTGATCATTAGCCTTGAGGAGCCTAGATCTTATCACTATTGAAAGAATAATATTAATATTATGCAGTTCTAAAGCACATTGTAGTCACAAACTAATTGTTTCACATGTATAAATGCAAATTACTTCAAGTATCAGAGGAAGTAGTCATAAAGTTCATCATCATCAGCTCATATAGAAGAAAGACTAAAAATATCTCTATGCAGGCAGCAAAACCTGGTAAATAACTAGCAATAAAGATTATCTGTAATATCAGCTTTAATATTTGTTTGCTACCAATGAAATGGTCCAAAATAAATATCTGAGAAAATGGCAAAACATGATATTTCCTATTTAAAAACAGCAGCTGGAAGAATGTGTTTATTATATGAGCAAAATTGAACTGAAGGAATTTATAAAGTTCATATCTTTCAAACTACAAGACCTAGATCTCAAGGCACTTGAGAAACACATGTCTAATCAGAACTTGATTTTTATTATCCCAACTTTTTCTCTCCACTTCATGGTGACATAGCTAACACTTGCTTTTTATTCTCTATGCAACAAGACAAAAATTAAAGTTTTAGTAAAATGGCTGGAAGTTAACCAGTTTCCAATTTTTTGAGGTTCCTTTTATTTTTTTGAAATCAAATAAGTCCTGGAAAAAATCATCTTTTTTGTTATGCGATTGTCTTAAGAAGAAAGCATCATTGAATCTACTTGGCACCTGATAGACTTTCTTTTGTAGGTAGATTTTAAGTAAAAATGAAAGACATTCGCAGGACCCAAAGTTCAGTATTTTCCATTTCCCATCGTTAAAAATGAAAAAAATCTATTTCGAAATTGTTAAAACATGTGCTGATTGTCTTGGGTCATAAATGTTTACGCTCTTAACCCAGCAGCTGCTAACTCAAGGCTTTGTTCACCCTATTTGCAATTTTTGCATTCAAATTATTCAGGACATTTTGAAGCTATATTGTGAAAATATTGTCACTGTGATGTTCAGTCATGATTCTAACAATCAGAAGACATTGAATTTTTGAATAATAGCTTGTTAAATAAAGAAAATTGAAAACTACATTGTTATTCAGAGTTACCAAAATTATTTTAAGAGTCACAGGAAATGCAGTTGGCTCTGGCAGATGAAGCTTTTTTTGCCTTTTTATTTTTATTTTTATTTTATTTTATTTTTACAGATTTAGGAGTTACAAGTGCAGTTTTGTCATAGGGATATATTGCGTAGTAATGAAGTCTGGGCTTTTAGTGTATGTATAACCCAAAGAGTGAACATTGTTCCAATAGGTAATTTTTCAACCTTCACCCCCTTCTTACCATCCCAGCTTTTGGAGTCTCCCATGTTCATTATACCACTCCATATGTCCATATGTACCCATTGTTTAGCTCCCACTGATAAGTGAGAACATACAGTTCTGGTTTATTTCACTGAAGATAATGGCTTCTGGTTCCATCCATGTTGCTGCAAAGAATATGATTTCATTCTTTTTTCTGGCTACGTAACATTTCATGGTGTATATATATATGTGTGTGTGTGTATATATATATGTGTGTATATATATATATGGCAATATACATAATGTGACATAT
This sequence comes from Homo sapiens, assembly GCF_000001405.40. Taxonomy (NCBI): domain Eukaryota; kingdom Metazoa; phylum Chordata; class Mammalia; order Primates; family Hominidae; genus Homo; species Homo sapiens. The sequence goes on from NC_000011.10 coordinate 42,130,627, forward strand.
ATATGCAATGCTATATATATGTGTGTGTGCATGTGTGTGTGTGTGTGTGTATATATATATATATATATATATATAGCATTTTATTTATCCAGTCATCCATTAATGGAGACACTTAGATTGATTTCATGACTTTGCTATTGTGAATAGTGCTGCAAGGACATGAGTATAGGTGTGATTTTAAATATAATGATTTATTTTCCTTTGGCTAGATACCCAGTAGTAAGATTGTAAGATTGCTGGATTGAATGGCAGTTATATTTTTAGTTCTTTGACAAATCTCCATGCTATTTTCTACAGAGATTGGACTAATTTACATACCCACCAACAGTGTATCAGTGTTCCTTTTTCTCCACATTCTTGCCAATATGTGTTGTTTTTTTGACGTTTTAATGATAACTTCTGACTGCGGTAAAGAAGCTTTGAAATTGCTCTACATCTAGGACATTATTGGTGAAGTTTAGGGCTTGTGGATACTGAGAGTCATGGTCTGAGTGGTTCTTTCTCCTCCTCCTAGATCAGAGTGCAGATGCAGCAGCAGACACACTTTCTTTCACCCTTGTCTGTGGGGAAGAAAGCTTCCATGTTGTGAGAACGTCTATGGAGAGGGGGCCATGAGGTGAGGAACCACGGTGTCCTCTGGACCAGCTGCAGGTGGCCTCTAGGAAATGAGAGCAATCTTTCGTCACCATTCAAAAAACAATCCAGGGCTCTTAGTTTAACAGTCACAAGGAAATAAACTCTGCTTACAACCTGAATAAGTTTAAAAGTGTTTCATTGTCAGATGAGTCTACATGTTAGAACCAAGTCCTGGACAGCACCTGAATTACAGCTTTGCAAAGGACTCAATTAAGGATCAGGCAGAAACTGTGAGATAATAAATGTATATGACTTTTTTTTTGAGATGGAGTCTCACTTTTGTCCCCAGGCTGGAGTGCAATGGCGCAATCTTGGCTCACTGCAAGCTCTGCCTCCCGGGTTCAAGCAATTCTCCTGCCTCAGTCTCCCGAGTAGCTGGGATTAAATGCATGCACCACCACGCCCGGCTAATTTTGTATTTTTTAGTAAAGACGGAGTTTCTCCATGTTGGTCAGGCTGGTCTCAAACTCCCGACCTCAGGTGATCTGCCCGCCTTGGCCTCCCAAAGTGCTGAGAATAGAGGCATGAGCCACCATGCCCGGTCGTATATGATTTTTAAGCTGTGAGTTTGTACTAGCTTATTAGATGGCAGTAGAAAGCTTTTGATTTCCTTAAAGATAAATATTACAAGGAAATAATGTAGGGCATGCGATTATGGAAAAAAATAAGAAAAATAAAAAGAGGCACTAAAGATTGGGAAATGCTGATTCAATGCAAGTCCTAACTTTATTTATTTATAAAATATCTGAGGCCTATAAAAGTTACTTGTCATAATATATAACTAGATAGCAACAAAATTAGAAAAAGAACAAGATCTGCGGCATCTATCTTTGATTGTAAGCTTTATGTGGTCATGGTTGTTAACTATCTTTTGCAGGATCCAAAAGCACTACATTCATGATTAGCACTTATTGTTTTTATTTTCATTCAATAACTGCACTTTCCATATTTAAAGTTCAGATTATTCAAGGATTTCATGATGCAAAGCTTTATCTTTTAATTTTCTACATGTTTCAGACCATAGAGGAGAAGGTTGAAGGTAGCCAAGAGCAGTGTTAATTAGTCCCTTTATTTTAGTTAGAGGCAGAAAGGAAAATCAGTCCTAGACAGGCTATAACAGGATAATCGCATGGCATATAATTCTATGTATATTTTTCCCAGACCTGGGATAACGCAAAGAAAATGAGAGGAATAGAAGGTGGTATAGCTGCAATAAATCACAAAGGAATAAAAGTCAACGTATTTCACTTTTAATACTGGCTCTAACAAGTTGGACAAATGTTCTCTAGGTCTCCATTTTATTTTCTTTTAAATATAAAAAAAACGGAAAGGAGAAATGTAAGGTTCCATCATTTATTTCAATCTTAGAAGGTTTTGTCTATCATAAAAAGAGAAATATGAGAATTTTACTTATTTCTTTCTTATTTTTAGATCCTAGAGTATTGAAACAACATTAGATGTATAAACTAGTGGTCTCAAAGGATTGTGAAATTGAAGAGAGAGCAATAAAATTAGCAGATCAAAAAAGAGAAGATTTTAAATATTAAATAGAACCTCAGTAAGACAATATCAAAAGATGTAACATATTTATAAGTGATGTTCCAGAGGGAGAGAGGAAAAATAATTGGGTTGAATATTTTTTAAAACATGTGGCTGGATTTACCAAATGGGTAAAAAATATCTAATTACAAATCCAAGAACATCAAAAAATCATAGCAGAAAAATATTTTTTAGAATAACTACATCTAAGTACATTATAATCAAAACTCAAAATATCAAAATTTTTAAAAATCCTAAAAAGAATCAGAGAAAAAGGACATATCACATGCAGGAGAATAATAAAATAATTGTTACTATCTTCTTGTCACATGTTTTCCAGTTAGAAAAACATGAAACACCCCCTTTAATGTGTTGTGGGAAAGAAATATACAGACCCAGAATACTATGACCAGTGAAAAACATTCTTCAAAAATTAGGTAGAACGAGAGACATTTTCAGATAAATTTAAGTTAAAAAATTTGTTGCCAATAACTTAGCACTACAAAAAAATATGAAGTGAAAATTTCAGATAGAAAAGTATGGTACATTGAAAAAAAATCCTCAGATCTATATAGATTAAAGAGCACTGAAAATGATAAGTAGGTAAGCAAATAAAAAGATCACCTTTCTATGATTTCTTAAATTTCTCAAAAGATAACTGAATGTTTAAAACAAAAATAACATTTTATATGGACATGTATATGATAATATATAAAATATTGGCAACATATGATGACATATTACAAAACAGAGGGTTAAATTAAGAAGAATAATACAAAATGTAACATGACTGTAATGATCTAAAAATGATATTGTAAACCTTAAAGCCATCTAAGCATCATTACTAAAAACCAGTAAAGGAAATAAATGGATTATTTAAAAGTGCTTGATTACTTCAAAAGAATCCAAGAAAAAAAGAACAGAGAATGGCACAATTAGAAAGAAAATAGCAAAATTTGAAACTCAAAACCAGTCATTTCAAAAATTACATTGGATATTAAGTGATTAAATACATAAATAAAATATATAAAGAGCATAAATAATTTCATAGAAAAAATCTAATAATCTGATCAAAAATGGACAAAAGATTTGGATGACATTTCTCAAAGGAATACATACAAATGGCAAACAGGCATATCTATGAAAGATGCTCAACATCATTGATCACTAGAGAAATGCAAATCAAAACTACAATAAGGGATCACCTTATCCAAGTTAAAATGATTTATATCCAAAAGACAGGCAATACAAATGTTGGCAAGGATGTGGAGAAAATGAAACATTTGTACACTCTTGGTGGGAATGTAAATTAGTACAACCATTATGGAGAACAGTTTGGAGGTTCCTCAAAATACTAAAAATTGAGCTACAATATGATCTAGCAATCCCACTGCTGGGTATATACCCAAAAGAAAGGAAATCAGTATATCAGGGATATCTGCACTCCTATGTTTGTTGCATCACTGTTTATATTAGCTAAGATTTGGAAGCAACTTAAGTATCCTTCACCCAGTAAATGGATAAAGAAAATGTGTTACAAAAGTACTATTCAGCCATAAAAAAAAATGAGATCCAGTCATTTGCAACAACAAGGTTGGAATTGAAGATTATTATGTTAAGTGAAATAAGCAATACATAGACAGGTAAACATAGCATGTTCTGTGTATGGGATCTAAAAATCAAAACAACTGAACTCATGGACATATAGAATAGAAGGGTGTTTATCAGAAGCTGGGAAGGGTAGTGGGGGCCGAGGGGAAGGTGGGGATGGTTAGTGGGTACAAAAAATAGAATGAATAAAACCTACTATTTAGGCCGGGCGCGGTGGCTCACGCCTGTAATCCCAGCACTTTGGGAGGCCGAGGCGGGCGGATCACGAGGTCAGGAGATCGAGACCATCCCGGCTAAAACGGTGAAACCCCGTCTCTACTGAAAATACAAAAAATTAGCCGGGCGTAGTGGCAGGCGCCTGTAGTCCCAGCTACTTGGGAGGCTGAGGCAGGAGAATGGCGTGAACCCGGGAGGCGGAGCTTGCAGTGAGCCGAGATCCCGCCACTGCACTCCAGCCTGGGCGACAGAGCGAGACTCCGTCTCAAAAAAAAAAACCAAAAAAAAAAAAAAAAAAAAAAAACCTACTATTTAATAGTACAACAGTTGACTATAGTCAATAATAACTTAATCATACATTTAAAAATAACTTAAAATAACTTAAAGGGTATGATTGGATTGTTTGTAACTCAAAGGACAAATGTTTGAGAGAATAGACATCCTATTCTCCATGATGTGCTTATTTCACATTGCATGCCTGTATCAAAACATCTCATGTATCCCATAAGTATATATACCTACTATGTACTCAGAAAATTAAAAATTTTTTAAAAGAAATTATTTTTTAAAAAAACAATACTCCAAGAGAATGTAAATATATTCTTTGTAATGTTTGTTTCCTCCCGAGTAGCTGAGACTACAGGCGCCTGCCACCATGCCTGGCTAATTTTTTTGTATTTTTAGTAGAGAGGGGGTTTCACCGTGTTAGCCAGGATGGTCGTGATCTCCTGATCTTGTGATATGCCCGCCTCGGCCTCCCAAGGTGCTAGGATTACAGGCGTGAGCCACCACGCCCGGCTCCAAACTGTATTTTAACAAAAGTGATACAACTCTGTGTTGTCTACAAGAGACATAATATGCCTGTAGAAAGCATAAAGAAACTAGTGTAATTAACTTCAATCCAAGTAGACTTTAAATTAAAAAAATCATAGAGAAGGAATATATTTCATAATGAGAAAATTCCACAAGAAATATATAACAACACTGAAGATATATGCAAATGATAATATCACTTTAAAACACATAAAGAAAAACTGACTGAAAAATAAAGGTAGAAAGAGACATATTCAGTTGTAATTGGGAATTTTAACATCCCTCACTAAGTAGTTAGTAAAACAGCTAGACAAAAAAATTTAGTAATAGAATATTTGAAAAATACTATAAATCGACTTGTAATTACAATTTGTAGAACATGACATCCAATTATTGAAGAATACATAATTTAAATTTACATTGAATGATAACAAGGATACACCTTATGACCGGAAATAAAATGTGTCACTCAACCTTATATGACTAAAATTGTAGTATTTCTGATCACAACAGAATTAAAGTAGAAACCATTAGAAATATCCAGAAAATCTACAAATATTTAAAAGGTAACACAATTGAGTATAACTTATATGTCCAAAAAAACTAAATAGAAACCATAGTTTCAACTAAAAGACAATAAAGTTATACCATATCAAAATTTATAGAATACAGCTAAAACAGTGCTTACAGAGAAATGTGCAGCTTTATATCCTCATATTAGTAAAGAAGAAAGTCTCAAAAATAAATACCTACATCTGGCAAAATAAATGTAAGCTAAATTCATATTAAATTTAAGGAAGCAAATAACCATGGTCAGAGTAGAGAACAATAAATTAGAAAACAAACAGAAGAAAAAATTAGTGCTAAAAGTTGCTTACTTTATCAGATATGTAAAATTGAAAAAATAAAGAGAAGGTACTGCTAGACATTTTACACATATTAGAAGTACAACATGTAATACACAAACAAATGTATGCCAATAAATTTAACAATTTAGAAGACATGGATTAAATAACTGAAAAACAAAACTTTTCAAAACTCAGGAAAAATGAATAAATCTGAATATATTTATACATCATAAAGAAATGAAATTCTTAATCCAACATCCTTTCACAAAGAAAATTTCAAGCCCAGATTGTTTTTCAGGCTAGTTCTGTTACGCATTTTTTAAAGTGTAATCGTAAACTTTAATCTTTTATCAAATACTGGAGGATAAATCCCTCATTGATTTATTTTATGAAGGCAACATTACCCTAAAGCCAAAATACGATTAAAACATTACAAAAAATAGAGCAATACCCTTATGAATGTAGACACGTATATAATAAAGGGAATGATAAATAAATCAAATTCAGTAATACATAAATAGAATAATATAATATCACTAAGTAAAATTTAAAAACTTAAAAATCAGTGTAATTAATTAATAATATAAAAGAGAATACCCATAGGATCATTTCCATAGTTGCAAAAGATGTGTTTTTTTTTTTGAATTTTTATTTTTATTTTAAGTTCTTGGTTTCATGTGCAGGATGTGAAGCTTTGTTACATAGGTAAACATGTGCTATTGTGGTTTGCTGCACCTATCAACCCATCACCTAGGTATTGAGGCCAGAATACATTAGCTATTTTTCCTAATGCTCTCCCTCCCCTGACCCCGCACCCCACAACAGGCCCCAGCGTGTGTTGTTCCCCTCCCTGTGTCTATGTGTTCTCACTGTTCAGCTCCCACTTATAAGTGAAAACATTTGGTGTTTGATTTTCTGTTCCTGCATTAGTTTGCTGAGGATAATGGTTTCCAACTCCATCTATGTGTGGGATCTAATTAAACTAAAGAGCTTTTGCACAGCAAAAGAAACTATCATCAGAGCTGACAGGCAACCTACAAAGTGGGAGAAAATTTTTGCAATCTGTCCATCTGACAAAGGTCTAATATCAAGTATCTACAAGGAACTTAAACAAATTTACAAGAAACAAAAAATGAACCCATTAAAAAGTGGGCAAGGTATATGAATAGGCACTTCTCAAAAGACATTAATGTGGTCAACAAACCTATAAAAAATGCTCAACATCACTGATCATTAGAGAAGTGCAAATCAAAAACAAAATGAGATACCATCTCCTGCCAGTCAGATTGGTGACTATTAAAAAGTCAAGAAACAACAGATGCTGGTGAGGTTGCAGATAAATAGGAACACTTTTACACTGTTGGTGGGAGTGTAAATTAGTTCAATCATTGTGAAAGACAGTGTGGTGATTCCTCAAAGATCTAGAACCAGAAATACCATTTGACCCAGCAATCCCATAGAGGAATATAAATCATTCTATTACAAAGATACATGAACACACATGTTCACTGCAGCATTATTCACAATAGAAAAGACACGGAATCAACCCAAATGCCCATCAGAAGAAGAAACATAAAAGAAATATTTTGGCATTGTGGAATTGTTCTGTCTTTGTTGGTGTATTATACAGGTTATATATATACTTTTCTCTTTCTCTTTGAGACAGGGTCTTTCTCTGTCACCCAGGCTGGAGTGCAGTCATGCAATCTCGGCTCATTGCAACCTCTGACTCCTGGGTTCAAGCAATCCTCCCACCTCAGCCTCTCGAGTAACTGGGACTACAGGTATGCACCACCACACCTAGCTAATGGTTGAATTTTTTGTAGAGATGGAGTCTCGCCATGTTTCCCAGGCTGGACTTAAACTCCTGAGCTCAAGTGATCCACCCACCTTAGCGTCCCAAAGTGCTAGGATTACTAGTATGAGTCACCGCGCCTGGCCAAACATTTTATATTTTATAAATATTTAACAAATATTTTTGTCAAAACTCATTTGATTTTACTCCTAAAGTGAGTGCATTTTGTTGCATATAGATTTTATTTTAATTAAAAAATACTTTAAATATGTATTTCTCATTGCATACAATACAGGTTGGCTGGAATCTCAAACCTATGTTATGTTACTCTTTAACCCCAGCTGATAGAATAGGTGTCATTGGAATGTTGCTAATTGCTGGAGATAAGTAAAAAAAAAAAAAGATATAGCAAAACTTTCATGGCTCATAAAACTAACTTCATGGAAGAAAAACATATAATGTTTGTTCATATCTTGTTGAGCAAATGTGGTAGGTAGAATTTTAACCCCATTCCCAGGATTTCCCCTAAGATTTCTAAACTTAATCCTTGGGAATATAAATATGATGATACATCACATTTATGATTATGTCACATGACAAAAACGTATGTTGCCATGTGACATGAAATCCTACTATATGTCTAGAAACAGGAGGACCAGATTACTTGTCAACAATACTAATGACTATAAAACATCTTTATATAAAATATCTTCTCCAGATGACAACATGCATATATTTTCTCCATTTTGTTATTCATTTATTGGATTATGTATTCCTTTCTCCTTGAAAACCCTTTCTGCTGCTTCTAACAATTTAGTGTCATTATCTCCTCTCGGGGGAATTTGGTGCTCAATTGTTTAAAAAGGGCAGTCAGTGCTTCTTGGCAGCAGAAAAATTAGGAAGGCTATAACTCTGAATATTAAATTAGGACACTGAGGATATTTTTAACAAGTGTACTTTCCATTCAGCTAAGCCAAAGTTTGATGCATTTTTTTCTGTAAAGGTGCAGATAGTAAATATTTTATGCTTTGCAGGCCATATGGTCTTTGTTGTACCTACTCAGCTCTGCCATTGTAGCTTGAAAGCAGTCATAGACAATATGTTAACAAATGACCATGGCTGTGTTCTAATAAAACTTTATCTACAAAAGGAGACAGTGAACTAGATTTGGCTCTCTGCCATAGTTTAATTCCCTGAATTAAGCCATTAATTTCATAGACTCTTAGATTTCTATAAGACCACAAGATTAATCTCTAATACTTCATCTTTTGGAAATGGAAACTGGGTCTGAGGGAAAGAGAATTACTCTGCCCAAACTCACAATACTAATTAGGGAGTAACTCTGGTCTAGAAACTAGATATCGCAACTCACTGTTCAGTGAGTAGCCACTGCATTGTACTGAATTTACATTTTTCCTGATTGAGAAAAAAAAGCAGTTGCGTTAATGTTATTTTTCCATATCTCCTTTATATCCATCTTGAATGTTTAAATTCTTCTCTTTACTACAAAAGTAAATACTTTCTAGTTTACTCAGATGAGACTGGAAAATACATTTTGATGCCTGAATATAGGAATGAAAAACTCAAAACCTCTTAATTCAACTGGACACTGAGGTTTCCATTGCTTAGCGTTGCCTGCTTCATGGGTGATCTCTTAAAACAGATTCCACTTAAAGTCTCAGCGATTCATTTATATGAAGGTGTCAGCAAAACTATTTCATATATTTTTTAGTCTTTCTTGGACTCTACTTACACATATTTTAGATTGTTAGAAGCTCTTCCACTAGTTATTCACTAGTTATTTACATTCTATTTAGTTTTTTACTTTTTTTTTTCTATATGCTTCTGTATAGTTAATGCTTATTGACCTTTTTCAGGTTTTTGAGTTCAATGATCCTTTCTTCTGCAGTGTCCACTCTAGTATCAAATTTATCTAATGTTCATTGTTTTCTTCCTTGCTTCGTTTTTGTTTCTTTTTCTATAAAAGATATGGTATTTTTTTACTTCTAGAATTTTGATTTGATTATTTTGTACAGATTCCCTTTCTTTGCTGAGAATATATATCTGTTCATCTATTCACTTTATCTTTTCCGTTAAGTACATGAACATATGTAATTATTTTAAAAATCTTTCCTGCTAATTCTAATATTTGTGACCTATTTCATATTTTTAATTGTAAACAAGATATTGTATATAAAGGAATAGTGGAATTTGAAGTGTACTACTCTTTGCTTTTTCTGTTTTTCTCTGAAATGGTGAGTTCTTTTGATATGTCTGGCAACTAAGATGAAGCGTCAAATTAATCTGCAACTGAGCTTTACTTTTAATAAGATTGAATTTTTGATTAGCCCAACCACCAACTAGTGTGCTACTGTGGACCCTTCTTGGGAGTGGCTGATATCTTTTATCTTCTTAAGTTTGGTCTAAGGTGCAGTTGGTTCATGTTTTCACCTTCAGAATCAGCAATAGTGGTCCCTTGCTCTAATAAGCATAGTGAGAATGTTCAAGCCTGCAGAGACTTTTTATTCTTTTCAGCCTTGCATTCCTGGTCATTTACTGAGGCAAAATAGAGTTGTAAATAGTCAGATTAAGATGATTGTTTTTACTTTTACTTTTACTAGACTCTCAACTCCATACCTCTCTACCTTCTTCACCAATACTTATAGCTCAACCTTGTTGATCTCTCTTAACCTGGCATATTCTCTGGAAGGCATTATTTTGCCCATACCTAGATCTGCCATTTCCCCCAGGAAAAAGCCGGAACTTTCTTCTCACTTATAGAGGGCTCCTTTTTTTTTCCTGAAATGAGTTCTCCTGGGATTTCTTAAATCCACCATTTTTTGAGAGCCTTGCATATAAGTATGATGTCTATTAAATTGTATTTTTTCAGTGTTGAAATAGTCTGAATATATGTCCCTGCCAAATAGCATGTTGAATTGTAATCCTTAATATTGGAGATGGGGCCTGGTGGGAAGTGACTGGATAATGGGGGCGGATTTCTCATGAATGGTTTAGCATCATTCACATGGTTCTGTCTTCACAATAGTGAGTTCTCACGAGATCTGGCTTTGTAAAAGTGTATGACACCCCCACTATACCACCTCTTGTGCCTGGTCCCCTAATCTTGCTCCCACTTACACCACGTGAGAGGCCCTCTCCCACTTCACCTTCTGCTATGAGTATAATCTCCCTGAGGCCCTCCCAGAGCCAAACAGTTGCCAGCACTATGCTTCTTATACAGCCTGGAGAAGTGTGAGCCAATTAAACTTCTTGTCTTTATAAATTACCCAACCTCAAGTATTCCTTTATAGCAGTGCAAGAACAGCCTAATACAAGTGTTAAAATCCTTTTACATCATAACTGGATATAAAATTAATTTTACCCACTCTTATGTTGTTTTATTGAGTGCCGTGCCCCATTTGCTGTTAGCTAATAGTTTTATCTAGTTTTTCCAGTCCGTTTCATTTTTCATGACTTACAAACATCTGACTAATCCTACTTGTGTTTTATTTGTTTGTCATAGTCAATATGCCAGGAAACTATAGAGCATTGGGTCTTTCTTGGTTCCTGGACTCTTAGATAAAGTTTTGGGGTTGCATGTCTTTTAGTATTTTCTGTTTGACATCCATTTTATAATAGTTTCTCTCAAAGCAGGATCCGATGTTAACATTGTATGTATTTGATTTATTGTGGGAGAGTTCTCAAGAGAAACTAGTAGGATGAAAGGAACATGATAGGTGTGCTGAAGGGGCAAGTAGTAGTGTGGTTTCAGATGAATTTAAATTCAACATGATCCTCAAATGATTTTTGGAGTCTAACTGCATCTGTCCTTCTTGGAAGCAAGGGGAGGAGGATGACACCTAGCCTGCAAGCTTCTTGAAGAAGGCAGCTGTAACCTCTCAGGAGCAATCTTCAGGGGGAGAATGCAGGTATGAGGAGGTATCAATCAATGAACTCATAGCAGCTTAGGGACTGGTGCCCACAGCAGAGTTGGTGATGGAAATACAGGGAACTAGGTGGGACACATACAGAATCCTGGTAATGTTTCTAATTCTCCTTAAATTATACATTGCTATTGAACTCTCCTGGAAATAATCCATAGAAAAAACTCTCAGTATGGAAAGGCTATTAAAAGATCTAGAATACTAAAAATTAATTACCCAACACAGGTTTTTTTCTACTTTCCTGTAGGGGAAGCTTACTGAAGAAACTTTAAAAACAAGAAAAAACAAACAAAAAACAAAAACCCAACACATGGAAGCATTATTATTCCACCTCATGCAGAAATCCAAATAGTGTAGTGTCTTGAAACAACAGTATCTGAACCAGAAGAGAGGTCAGGGCACAGTTTCCTTGCTTTATTGAGCAACACTTTCTATTTAATCATCTGGGGTCAAAAAGGATCTGACTACTTGCCTATTTGTGCTGACTTGGGTTAAACCAAAGTGTCAAGTTTTTTCAGGGATCACGACCCCCTTAGCAAGTTTTTAGAACTCTTGCTCCTAAATGAGGAAACCACCTTGGATGGTTATTCAAAAATAAAACTTTGAGCTTTTTTCTTAATAGATTTTATTTTAACTTCCTAAATAAGTACACATGTAGTTTAATAACAATTTCTTGTTGAGCAATTTCTTGTGAGTATCAATCACACAAAGACTGAGAGTTCCAGGGACAATTTATCACACAGTTCCCTTAAAGTCTGTGGCCCAGTTTTGATGAAGACTAAGGGTATATAATGAATTTTCTGTCTGGAAATATAGGCATATAGTCTTTAGAACACTAAGTAACAAACTACTCTTGTGGTATTGTATAATTCTATTTAGGAGAAAATTGTAGTTATATTTTTTTCTTAATTTTTCCTGTATAAATTCTAGAGTAGACTGATTTCCCTTACACAGATGAATAATTTCTTGATGCATTGTTTTTAAGGCATGTTTTGTGGAACAAAGTGTGACATAGCTTATGAGAAAAAAGGCAAAAGGATTCTATGGTCAATTAAGTTACTTTCCCTTTATATTGCTGTAGTAAAGGCAAAGACATATTTTAAGCAAAGAAACCTGTTTAATTTTGCTTATTTTAGTGCTGGCTAAATTATTGTTTAGCCATCTATGTCTCTGAATTTTTATTAGTGCTATTTTTATTTTCCAATCATGTTCAAAAAACCCTGGAATATAGGTTGGAAAATGTTCCTTTGGAGTCATACAGATTTTCAGTAGAAATGGCACCTAGCTAAAGTTAAATTAGGAATCACTCACATCATCTTTCTTTCCTTTTCCTTCAACATTATTTTTATTCCTACTATTTCTCTGGATGTGCTATGATGTCATTATGCCCTAAACTCAACACAGGAAAGATGAGGATAATAGATCTACACATATTTGTTTCCTGAATATTGGTATGGGCACCAATTTGACTTAAACAATCTAGATTCAAATAGCATATCTGCTCTTAACTAGCCACATAATATTTAGCAGTTTAACCTTCAAATTTCTACACTATTAAAAAAGAAACAGTAATGTCACTGTATTCATCTATTCTCACACTACTATAAAGAACTACTGGAGACTGGACAATTTATAAGAAGTGTAATTGACTCACCGTTCCACAGGCTATACAGGAGACATGACTGGGGAGGCCTTACAAAACTTACAATAGGAGTGGAAGGTGAAGGGGAAGCAAGCACTATTGTCAAGTGGTGGAGCAGGAGAGTGAGCAAATGAAGTGCTACACACTTTTAAACTGCCAGATCTCATGAGAACTCACTATTATAAGAGTAGCAGGGTGGAAATCCACCCCCATGATCCAATCACCTCCCACCAGGACCCTCCCCCAACATTGGGAATTATAATTCAACATGAGATTTGGGTGAGAGCACAGAACCAAACCATATCATTCTCCCCTTGGCCCTTCCAAAATCTCATATCCTTCTCACATTTCAAAACACAATCATGCCTTCCCAACAGTCCTCCAAAGGATAACTCATTCCAGCATTAACTCAAAAGTCCAAAGTGTCGTCTGAGACACAGCAAGTCCCTTCCACCTATGAGCCTGCAAAATCAAAAACAAATTAGTTACTTTCAAGATATAATGAGGGCAAAGGCATTGTGTAAGTGCTCCCATTCCAAAAGGGAGAAATTGGCCAAAACAATAGGGGTAAATTCCACATGCAAGTCCAAAACCCAGCAGGATAGTCATTAAGTCTCAAGGCACCAAAATAATTGCCTTTGACTCCACATCTCACATCTTCGGCATGCTGATGCAAGGGGTGGGATCTCAAGGTCTTGGGCAGCTGCACTCCTATGGCTCTGCAGGGCAGAGTCCCTGTGGCTGCTTTCACAGGCTGGCACTGAGTGCCTGTGGCTTTTCCAAGTGCACAATGCAAGCTGTCAATAGATCTACCATTTTGGGGTCTGGAGGATGGTAGCCATCTTCCCATAACTCCACTAGGCAGTGCCCAGTGGGGACTCTGTGTGGGAGATCCAACCTAACATTTCCTTCCCACACTGCATTAGTAGAGATTCTCCATGAGGCCTCTGCACCTGCAGCAGACTTCTGCCTGGACATTCAGGCATTTCCATACATCCTCTGAAATCTAGGCAGTGGCTCCCAAATCTCAAATCTTGCCTTCTGCTCACCACAGGCCCAACACAATATAGAAGCCACCAAGGCTTGGGGCTTGCAACCTCTGAAGCAATGGCCTGGGCTGTACCTTGGACCCTTTTAGCCACAGCTAAATTTGGGGCAGCTGGGACATGGGTACCATGTCCCAAGGCTGCACAGAGTAGCAGGAGTGTGGGCCTGGCCCATGAAACCATTTTTCCCTCCTAGGCCTCTGGGCCTGTTATGGGAGTGGCTTCCGTGAAGGTCTTTGAAATGTCCTGGATGCATTTTTCCCATTTTCTTGGCTATTAACATTTGGAATTTTTTTTTTTTTTTTTTTTTTTGAGATGGAGTCTCACTCTGTCACCCAGGCTGGAGTGCAGTGGCACAATCTCAGCTCAATGCAACCCCGGCCTCCTGATTGCAAGCTATTCTCCTGTCTCAGCCTCCCAAGTAGCTGGGATTACAGGCATGCACCACCACATCCTGCTAATTTTGGTATTTCTAGTAGACATGGGGTTTTGCCATGTCGGCCCAGCTGGTCTTGAACACCTGACCTCAGGTGATCCACCCACCTTGGCCTCCCAAAGTGCTAGGATTACAGCTGTGAGCCACCATGCCTGGCCTGGCTTTTCTTTACTTATGCAAATTTCTGCAGCAAGCTTGAATTTCTCCTTAGAATGTGGGATTTTCTTTACTACACATTTTCAGGCTGCAAATTTTCTGAACTTGTATGCTCTGCTTCCCTTTTAAATATAAGTTCTATCTTAAGATCATTTCTTTGTTTATGCAAATGAGCATAGGCTTTTAAAAATAGCCAGGCCACATCCTGAATGCTTTGCTGCTTAGATATTTCTTCTGCCAGATACTGTAAGTCATCTCTCTCAAGTTCAAAGCTTCCTAAAACTCTAGAGCAGAGGCACAATGCCTCTAGTCTCTGTTAAGCACAGCAAGAATCACCTTTATTCCAGTTCTCAATGAGTTCCTCATCTCCATCTGAGACCACCTCAGCCTGGACTTCACTGTCCATATCACTATTGGCATTTTGGTTACAACCTTTCAAAAACTTTGTAGGAAGTTCCAAACTTTCCCTCATCTTCTTGTATTCTTCTGAGCCCTCCAAACTGTTCCAACCTCTGCCCATCACCCTGTTCCAAAGTGGCTTCCACATTTTCAGGTATCTTTATAGCAATGCCTCACTCCCAGTACCAATTGTCAGTACTAGTCTGTTGTCATACTACTATAAAGAGCTACATAAGACTGGATAATCTATCAGAAAAGAGGTTCAGTTGATTCAGTTCCAAAGGCTGTACGATTCAGTTCCAAAGGCTGTACAGGAGGCATGGCTGGGGAGGCCTCAGTATACTTACAAAAATAGTGGAAAGTGAAGGGGAAGCAAACACTATCCTCACATGGTAGAGCAGGAGAAAGAGCAAAGGGGGAATTGCTACACATTTTCAAACAACCATATCTCATGAGAACTTTCTATCATGAGAACCGCAAGGGGGAAATTCACTCCCATGATCTAATCACCTCCCACCAGGACCCTCCCCCATCATTGAGAATTACAATTCAACATGAGATTTGGGTGGGGACACAGAGCCAAATCATATTAGTCATCATCTACCTTACAGAGTTACTGTGATGAGAAAAACAAGGTTTGGTTAATAAGTGCTAATTTGGTGGTAGTGACTTTTGGGATGTTAAAATGCTATGAAAATTTAAGATAAGTGTTTATGTATATGTATTCTTGTTGCATTTTGGGGAAAAATCGCAGATAGCCTTAACAATTAAACTATTTTCAAATTTAAAAACTAAAAATAACAATCAGATTTGAGGCAAAGTAAGGGCCAGGTAGCAAAATAAAATCCCAAAGAGTTAATATACAAATAAGCATGCTGTGTGACCTTACCAGCATGCATAATTGATTGAATCATTACTCTCCTTAAATGCTATATTCAAAGGATTATTTGGATAGCAAATAAAAGAGAAAAAGTATAGAGGAAATTTTAAAAAGTAAAATGCATATACAGACAACAAAAAGTTATTTATATCTCATTTCTTAAAATTCTAAATTTATTGGTTACATAACATAAATTCATTCACATGAAGAGTTTATCTTGTAGTATTCCATCACATGTTTTTGTAAATCAGAGGTTATCAAGTCCCTGACTTGACCCAATAATCAACATTAAACACATCTCAGTGCAAGGACACATGGGGCATAATTGAGTAACACAGAAAAAAATATTTGGCTCCCAACCTGTTAAAGTCTAAAGGAATTTAGCCAAGTATTACTTGAGATAAATGATTTTGATATATTAACACAGAATTTAAGTAAAAATTTACTTTTTACAAATGTTTTACTCTGTTTGCTTTTTTTATACCATTTCCATTTTTTGAAAATTTTGGGGGGATTTCTTTAATTTAACTTTCAAGTCCAGGGGTGTATGTGCAGGTTTGTTATTTAGGTAAACTTGTGTCATGGGGTTTGTTATACTGATTATTTTTTCACCCAGGTATTAAGCCTAGTACCCATTAGTTGTATTTCCTGATCCTTTCCCTCCTCCCACCCTTCAGCTTCTCATATGCCCCAGTGTGTGTTTTTCCCCTCTATGTGTCCATGTGTTCTCATCATTTAGCTCCCACTTCTAAGTGAGAACATCCAGAATTTGGTTTTTTGTTCCTGCATTAGTTTGCTAAAGATAATGGCCTCCATCTCCATGCATGTTACTGCAAAGGACATGATCTTGTTCTTTTATATGGCTGTATAGTATTCCATGATGTATATTTACCACATTTTCTCTATCCAGTTTATCGTTGATGGACATTTAGGTTGATTCCATGTCATTGCTATTGTGAATAGTGCTTCAATGAACGTATGTGTGCATGCATCTTTATAATATAATGATTTATATTCTTTTAGGCATATACCCAGTAATGGGATTTCTGGGTCAAATATTATTTCTGTCTTTAGGTCTTTGAGGAATCACCACACTGTCTTCCACAATGATGGAACTAATTTACACTCCCATCAACAGTGTATAAGGGTTCCCTTTTCTCTGCAACCTCACCAGCATCTTTTTTTTTTTCTTTTTTTTGTCTTTTCAATAATAGCCATTCTGACTGGTGTGAGATTGTATCTCATTTTGGGTTTTATTTCCATTTCTCTAATGATCAGTGATACTGAGCTTTTATTTCATATTATTATCCGCATGTATGTCTTCTTTTGAAATGTGTCTGTTCATATCTTTACCCACTTTTAAATGAAGTTTTTTTAATTATAAATTTGTTTAAGTTTCTTGTAGATGCTGGATAACTTGATTACTACTTATCCTGTCTGTAGCCTGAAATCTTCCTGAAGGAACAACCATGATTTCTTTCTTTGCTGTATTTTGTCCTCTTACTAAGACACTTCTCTTGCAATAACTATGTATTGAATGAGTAGTAAATAAATGACTGAAAGTCCATTCTTTAAAAATACTTCATTATAAATTCCTACAAGGAATATCATAAAATAGTAAGTATGAATGAATTAAAACATAACAATGACATTAAATGAGAAGATTCATACTAAAAAAATACTTTGTAACTCCATTTATATAAAGTTTACAAACAGGGAAATTCATCGTGTCAGATGTTAGGATATCACCATCTGTTGGGGAGAATGGTTAATAGAAGAGACCACTATGGGGCTCCTGGAAACCCAGTGATATTCTGCTTCTTGATCTGTTGCTGGCTATCTAGGTGTCTTCAAGTTAGTGTCAAAAATACATCACGATGTGACCTGTGTACTTTTTTGTATGTATGCTATTCTCAATAAACTTATATTCAGAAATAATACCTAATTACCTAGTGGGAAAAAAAAAACAAATTAGACCATTTGACTGTTTCTCTTTTTTTTGTGGTGGAAAATTGTAAGTGAATATTTTGTCAAAAGTTTTGAAGATACTCATATTCTTATCAGTTTAGCTTTCATGAGACATTTTCAAGAGAAAGAGGCACATCATCAGTGACTATAAACCACAGATCCTACAGAACAGACACGCACTTGAGCATGACAACCTTCACAGCAGACTAACTTCTATTTTCCCAATTCTCAGCCCTGTCTTCAAATTCCAATTGTGCTACCAACTTAAAAGTAGATTTCTCTGTTCCCTCAGCTATTGGCTATGAATTTAACATATCTTTTTACAATATCTCATCCCCAAAAGATATTCAATGTATTCCCAAATACAGGAGCAACTGACATATTATCCAGTAGACATAATGAGTAGACTGATCTATCATTCTTTCTAAAATATTCCTCTTGTGTTTGAAAAACATGTTGGTTTACTCAGACACTGAGTGGTGATTTTTAATCTCTGGTCATGCCAGAGTGTTGGATCCTCTTCTACTTTGGAATAGCATCTATATTATTGGAATTAGAACAATTGATTAAAAACTGTCCATAATCTTTCCTAAAGATAGATGTCCTATAAGCTTGCTCTGGAATCTGTCCCGTGATGAAGGGCTGGTTCCTCCTACATGGATAGGTTGCAAAATTCCATAGTGTAGATATGTGTGTCTTTAAATAGGAATGCACAGTACACAAAATTGCAAAACAAAAGCCACGAATCTGCACCTATTTGCTAGATGGAAACACTGACGTCAACATAACAACTGTGAATATCTTCTCTCCCTATTTTCATATATGTATTTGCAATTCTTTTTGAATCGTGATATACTATACTGATCGACGTCTACCCAGCCTTTTCCTACCAAATCTTGAAACTACTAATCAGAGATAACTGGTGAACCTTGTCTTGTCAAATCATGTCATGCTTTGAAAGAGAAAAGAATAGTTTAATAAACTTATGGTGATTCAACTTATTTTCTATAGGTTTTAAACTAATAATATAATACATTGTAAAGAATTAAAATATACAGGCTCGGGTACCAGTGTTCACTGTGAAACCTTGTACATGTCTTGCACCCTGCGTAAGTGTGTGTATTTGTGATGTGGAAAATAGTAATAGTGATGATTACAATTATTATGATTTCACCAAACTTTACATGAATGTTGTAAGAAACAATAAAATTAGAGTAATTGAAAGGATATGAATCACATAAAATATTAGCAAACTGTAGAAAGTATGTAACAATGTTACACCTATTTATTACTGAGACGTGAAGAGTAGAAATCTAAAGTAGTGGTTTAGAGGTATGAAGAATAGAATATGTCAGTCTAGCATACATCCAATTGGAGTTCTATGAGAAAATATGGAGTGACAATATTTGAAGAAATATTACCTAAGAATTTCCAGAACTGATGAAAGATACTAATTATCATATGAAGAGCTATAACAAATCCTAAACAAAAGAAAGAAAAAGAAATCCACCCCTAGACACATGAAGATGAAAATACATAAAATCTTGAAAAATTATTAAAGCAATCAGAGAGGAAACGTACATTATTTATATGATTCAGGCTGAATACTGACTTCATATGGCAATTTTAGAAGCAAAATCTTAGCAGAATAATATCTTCAAATAACTGAAACATAAAACTGTCAACCTCAAATTCCGTACTTATTAGAACTATCTGTTGAGAATGAAAATGTGATATATATGAAAAGCTCTTGACATTTATTCAACCTTACTTCTAGTGTGTCTCCTTGTGGTACAAACTGGAAAAAATTAAATAAAGAATACATTTCCCAGATTCTCTAGTAGCAAGTGTTTCAGATGTGACTTGAGATTAGCCAATCAAGAGCACATACACATGCTATAAAAGGTACAAATGAGGTTCGGACTTGACCTTTTCCTCTTCTGTTGATTTTTGGTAAATTTAATTGTGGAGGCATTGTATTTTGTTTTTACATTTTCAATTTTTGTATTTTCCCTAGTGGTTTGATTGTTTCTGTAGAAAAAGTAGTAGAACTTTCCTTTGATTCCTAGCATAATAGAAGGTAATCAGCAACATTTGAGGGAATTCATATTTTGCTAAAATGATTCAGCAAGAATAGTGTGAACCTGGAGTCAACAGTTATAGTGACCATTTCCAGATCTGTGAACAATAATTAAAGTTATATATTTCTGGAATTAGTCTTGTCCTCTGGTTGTAGTAGTCATTCCTGGAAGTCCAGTTGAAAGCACATTCTTCCAAGGCATCTTATAAGCACATATTTCCCTACAGTAAGTCTCCTTAAAAATAAAAAAAAGAACAACAACAACAAAAAACCTCAAGTGTGTTCTATTATTTGTCGTGGAGAGAATCAAGACTGAAGAATAATGTACAGAGTATCAGTTAGCTGTAGGAAAAATTCAAGAAGTTTAATCAACATATAACTGCAGCCTCTGAAAAAACAGAAGACAGACTGGGCAGAAAAGGCATTGGGATAAATGTCAAAATATTACAAACTTGATAAAAACTATAAATATAGTTTACACACTGAGCCAAGAAACTCAATGAACAGGAAGCAAATAATAATAAAGAAAACTATGGCCAGGTGCGGTGGCTCACGCCTGTAATCCCAGCACTTTGGGTGGCTGAGGCAGGTAGATCACGAGGTCAGGAGATCGAGACCATCCTGGCTAACATGGTGAAACCCTGTCTCTACTAAAAATATAAAAAATTAGCCAGGTGTGGTGGCGTGCGCCTGTAGTCCCAGCTACTCGGCAGGCTGAGGCAGGAGAATGGCGTGAACCCAGGAGGCGGAGGTTGCAGTGAGTCAAGATCGTGCCACTGCACTTCAGCCTGTGCAACAGAGCGAGACTCCATCTCAAAAAAAAATAAATAAATAAAAAAGATAAAGAAAACTATATCAAATCATATAATTATCAAACTGCTTAAAAATCAGTGATAAGAAGATTCTCTTAAAAGCTGCCAGAATAAAGAGACACGTTATTTACAGAAGAGCAAAGATGACAATGACAGAAGATTTCCTTTTGGAAATGACAGAATCCAGAAGAGAGTTGACCAACATCTTTAGAATCAGGAAGAAAAGAAAATTTGGCCTAGAAATCTATAAACAATTAAAATAGCTTTCAAACTGAAATGATAAAAGGATTTGTAAGGCATTGAAAATTTGAAATAATTTGTCATCAATAAACATTTACTAAAAAAATTATAAACCAAGGTTTTCAACATAAAAATATGAAACTACATGGGAAGAATCATCTATATAAAAGATAAAGAACACTAGACTATTTTAATTTTATGTATAGATATAAAATATATATATTTTTTTATTTTGAAATAACTATAAATTTACAGGAAGCTGTGAAAGATGTACAAGAAGGTATTACATTTCCCATTGATCATCCCTCATCTCCATAATTATAATCTCCTAGTTTTGTCACTTAAAAATGTAACATAAATGGAATCACATATTGTATGGCTTTTTGAGATATTTTTCTAACCTTTGTTTTCAAACAATAAAACTTAATTGAAGTTTATGTAAATTGTCATATGCATGAACAGTTTGTTCCTTTTTATTGCTGAGTAGTATTCCGTATTATGGAATTGTGATTATTAAGTTTACGTGTCAAATTGACTGGCCACAGGGTTCCCACATTAAATGTTTTTTTTTTAGTGTTTCTATGATGGTGTTTCCAGATGAGATTAGAATTTGAATTGTTGAACTTAATAAAATAGATTGTCCTCCCAATGTAAGCAGGCATCATCCAATTCATTGAGAAACTAAATAGAACAAAAGATGAAGAAATAAATAAAGCACTCCTTTTTGTTCTCTGATTTCAGACTTTGACTCAATTATACCACCAACTTTTTCAGATCTCCAGCTTGTAGAGGGAAGATTATAGGACTTCTGATCTCCCATAATCATCATAATCATGTGATCCAATTCTTCATAATAAATTTCTCTCTAAATCTCTTTCTCTCTTCGTGTGTGTGTGGGTGTGTGTGTATGTATAAAATATATCCTACTAATTCTGTTTATTTGAAGAACCCCAAATAATACAAGATGCACTACCATTTGTTTAACAACTCACATAATGGTGGACATTTGGGTAAGTTTTCAGTGTTGGGTTATTTATCAATAGACCTGCTATGAACATTTACATATAAGTTTCTGTGGGAATATATGTTTTTATTTTTCTGGGTTAAATGTCAAACAGTACAATTTCTGAGTCATATTCTAAATCCATTTGTAGTTTTAAAATAATTGTTAATTTTTTTCTAGACTGGATATGCTATTTTGCATTCACACCAAAAATGTGAGTGATTTGGTTTCTCCAGATTATTGCAAGCATTTGTTGTTATCACTATTTCACATTTTAACTATGCTGATAGGTGTGTAGTGATATATCACTTTGGTTTTAATTTTCATTTCCTCAATAGCTAATAAGGCTGAACACCTTTTCATGTAATTATTTTTAATCTGTATATTATTTTTTAGAGTAATTAACAAAACTGAAAAGTTTTATTAAAAATTATAACAAAATAAGCAAACTTTGAGTGAAACTAATCAAGCAAAATTGTAGAAGGCAAAACCTCAGAGAAATAAAATAAAACGTTGACACAGCTATAAATAAATACAAAAGACCTAAAAAAGAAAGAGAATAATAAAATTTAAAAGTTTGTGCTACTTAATAGGAAAACTTAGACATTACAAACAATTTTCTAGGAAGCAATTACAACTAATCAGACTCAAGAAGAAAAGAAAATATGAATAGGTTCAGTAAAAACAAAACCATACAATGGGGATACTACTTCACATTCACTAGTATAATCAGAAACAAATAATCAGATAATAATGTGTTGGTGAGGAAGTGCCAAAATTAGAACCCTCATACACTGCTGGTTGGGAATATATAATTGTACAGCTGCTTTAGAAGACAATTTGAGAATTGTTAAAATAGTAAAATATAAAGTTTTCATATAATCCAGAAATTCTATTCCTAGGTATAATCACTAGAGAAATGAAGGTACATGCAGAAGCTTGTACATGAATGCTTTTAACAGCATTATTTATTATGGCCAAAAAGTGCAAACAACCCAAATGTTCATCAATCAATCTGTATATTATTTTCAGTAAAATGCCTATGTCTTTTTCCCACTGTCTATTCAGTTTATTTAACTTTTAATTGAAGTTTTTTTTATGTTCTAGATACAAGGCCTTTGTCAGATATATATTTGCCAATACTTTCTCCCAGTCAATGTATGGTTTATAATCCTCTTAGAGACGTTCACACAGCAGAAGTTGTTAAATTTAATCAAGTCCAAGGTATATATTTTCTCTTTCATGGATTATATTTTGGTGTCATCTGAAGAATTCTTCATCCAATTCTAGGTCCTAAAGAATTTTTTCCTATGTTTTCATAAAAGTGTAGATTTATGCTTTATATTTAAATCCATAGTTCAACATGAGTTAATTTTTGTAAAAGAGTGAGGTTTAGGTAAAGGATTATTGTTTGTTTTGTTTCTCTTTTTCTATTTTTTTGGTTTTAATTATTTTTTGTGTTGTTGTTGTTGCCTATAGATGCCAAATTGCTACAGCATCAGGTGTTGAAAAGACTATCCTGTCTCCATTGAGTTGGCTTTGTACCTTTTTGAGAAATTAATTAGGAATATTTTACGGCTCTATTTGTTTTCTTTTCTTTCTTTTTTTTTATTGTTATTTTTTGACAGAGTCTCACTCTGTTACCCAGGCTGGAATGCAGTGGGGCAATCTAGGCTCACTGCAACCTCCACCTGCTGGGTTCATGCCATTCTCCTGCCTCAGCCTCCTGAGTAGCTGGTACTACAGGTGCATGCCACCATGCCCAGCTAATTTTTTGTGTTTTTAGTAGAGCTGGGGTTTCACTGTTAGTCAGGATGGTCTTGATCTCCTGACCTCGTGATCCACTTTCCTCGGCCTCCCAAAGTGCTGAGATTACATACATGAGCCACTGCGTCCAGCCTGTTTTCTTATTAATTTATTTTTTTTGCAAATAAAATTTCATAAAACAAAAAATGATAAAAAATTATGAGATTTCTAATACATGTAAAGATAAAATGTGTGATAAAAATGCTCAAAGATTAGGAGAAAAAATAAAAATATTTTGTTGAAAAATAATTTTTACATAACATGGTAAAATATTGACATAAGGATTATACTGTGAGAAGTATAATCTATACATCATGAAGAAGCTGTTAAAATTTAAATACAAAATTATCGCTATTAAGTCAACAAAAGAAATGAAAAGGGAATAAACAAAACTTAGCTATCTAAATAAATAGCAAAATAAAATGTAAAATTGACAGGAAAGTGGAATACAAATAATAATATGGTAGATTTAAGCCACTTATATCAATGATTATATTAAATGTAAATAGTCTACACAATCCAATTAAAAGGCAATTATTTTCAGATTAGATAAAAATGCAGGACCAACTCTGTACAACCTAAAAGAAATCTGTTGAAATATAAAGACATAAATATGTCAAAAGTAAAAAGGTAGTACAAGGTATATCACACTGTCATAAATAAAAATGAGTAGAGGCTATATTTATATCAAAGTGTATTTTGGAGTAAAGAATATTACCAGAGAAAAGAACACTCGTTTTAACATTAAACAAGTTTATTAATTAAGAGGACAAGCAATTCTAAATATTTTTGCATTTAATAATAGAGGTTCAAATGCTGACACGAAATGTGAATAAAGTGCTAGACTAGAAACATTCAAAACAGTGATGGCAAAACAATTCTCCTCATGATAAATAGAAGTAGACAGAAACTTTGTAGAATACACAAAACTGAAAAAACATGATTAACCAACTTTACATAATTGACATTTACAGGGCACTTCACACAGCAGTAGTAAAACATATATTCTTTTCAAGTACCACAAAATATTTGCCATCCTTGGCCATAGAACAACTAACATGTAATTTTAAAGGAGTCAGTGCATAGTCAATATGCTTTTTGACCAAAATGAAATATAGTTAGAAATTCATTACAGAAATACATCTATTAGGGCTGGGTGCGGTGGCTCACGCCTGTAATCCCAGCACTTTCAGAGGCCGAGGCAGGTGGATCACGAGGTCAGGAGATCGAGACCATCCTGGCTAACATGGTGAAACCCTGTCTCTACTAAAAATACAAAAAAATTAGCCAGGCATGGTGGCGGGCGCCTGTAGTCCCAGCTACTCGGGAGGCTGAGGCAGGAGAATGGCATGAACCCAGGAGGCGCAGCTTGCAGTGAGCCGAGATGGCGCCACTGCACTCCAGCCTGGGCAACAAGGCAAGACTCCGTCTCAAAAAAAAAAAAAAAAAAAGAAAGAAATACATCTATTAAAACTTCAACTATTTGGAATCCAAATTAGACATTTCTAAATAAAAAATAAAAAGATAGATAGGCAGTACTGTGAAGTAAATGCAAAGGAATACAAAACAAAATTAAATATGTAGTTATAGATCTATCTTGGGTTCAGATGACTTCACTGAAAAATTTTACCAAATATTTCTGAAAGAAATAATAATTGGACACAACCTCCTTCAAAAAATTAAAGATGAATGGATGTTATTCATTCATTCTCTGAGGCAAGCACTATGTTAACATTAAAATAAGACAAAGACAGTACGATAAAAAAATCTACTGACTAGTATCACTCAATAACATAGATGTAAACGTTTTTAACAAAATTTTAGAAAATCAAATCAATATAACAATATTTAAAAGCAATAACTCATCATGACAAAGTGTGACTTATTCTAGGTATGCAAGGTTAAACATACGAAAACAAATTAATGTTATATATCGTATTAGTAGACAAAACAAGAACAAATATTAATTATTTTATGAAAAACAAAATGAGTATTTATAAAAAACCTAAAATTCTGTAGAAAGATGAAACTGGATCCCTTCCTTACACCTTATACAAAAATCAATTCAAGATGGATTAAAGACTTAAACGTTAGACCTAAAACCATAAAAACCCTAGAAGAAAACCTAGGCATTACCATTCAGGACATAGGCATGGGCAAGGACTTCATGTCTAAAACACCAAAAGCAATGGCAACAAAAGACAAAATTGACAAATGGGATCTAATTAAACTAAAGAGCTTCTGCACAGCAAAAGAAACTACCATCAGAGTGAACAGGCAACCTACAAAATGGGAGAAAATTTTTGCAACCTACTCATCTGACAAAGGGCTAATATCCAGAATCTACAATGAACTCAAACAAATTTACAAGAAAAAAACAAACAACCCCATCAAAAAGTGGGCAAAGGACATGAACAGACACTTCTCAAAAGAAGACATTTATGCAGCCAAAACACACATGAAAAAATGCTCACCATTTTCACTGGCCATCAGAGAAATGCAACTCAAAACCACAATGAGATACCATCTCACACCAGTTAGAATGGCAATCATTAAAAAGTCAGGAAACAACAGGTGCTGGAGAGGATGTGGAGAAATAGGAACACTTTTACACTGTTGATGGGACTGTAAACTAGTTCAACCATTGTGGAAGTCAGTGTGGCGATTCCTCAGGGATCTAGAACTAGAAATACCATTTGACCCAGCCATCCCATTAGTGGGTATATACCCAAAGGACTATAAATCATGCTGCTATAAAGACACATGCACACGTATGTTTATTGCGGCATTATTCACAATAGCAAAGACTTGGAACCAACCCAAATGTCCACCAATGATAGACTGGATTAAGAAAATGTGGCACATATACACCATGGAATGCTATGCAGCCATAAAAAATAATGAGTTCATGTCTTTTGTAGGGACATGGATGAAATTGGAAATCATCATTCTCAGTAAACTATCGCAAGAACAAAAAACCAAACACCGCATATTCTCACTCATAGGTGGGAATTGAACAATGAGAACACATGGACACAGGAAGGGGAACATCACACTCTGGGGACTGTTGTGGGGTGGGGGGAGGGGGGAGGGATAGCATTGGGAGATATACCTAATGCTAGATGACGAGTTAGTGGGTGTGGCGCACCAGCATGGCACATGTATACATATGTAACTAACCTGCACATTGTGCACATGTACCCTAAAACTTAAAGTATAATAATAATAAATTAAAAAAAATTCTAAAAGCACAACCAAGTAAAATAAATAAAATAAATAAATAAATAAATAAATAAAAAACAAACAAAAACAAACAAACAAAAAAACCTAAAATTCATCTCTGAGTTAAAAAAAAACCTCTTATCAAACTGGAGGGATAAAACAGTAGAACTACACAGCCTGATAAAGAGAATCTTTTAAAAAGTCTATAATTAATGTCATACTTGATAGGTAAAGATAAAATATTTTGCACCTAAGACTATAAAAAAGTAAATATACCCTCACCATATCCAGTCAGCATAGTTGGGGTTGTAGCCAGTGTAATAAAGCAAGAAAAAAAGGTGTAAAATAAATCTATGTTGAAAAATAAGAAAGATTTCTATCAAGATGGGATTATAACCTGTGAAGAAATTTTATACAATTTACCGAATAGCTCCTAAACATAATAAATGAATTTAGGGAGGCTGCAGAATACACAAAAATAAAAGAAATAATAAGTTACTGACATTAACAAATACACGACAATTACATTAGCATCTAAATTCAAGAATATTTTAAAGAAAATCTGACAAAACACTTCCAAAACACAGAAGACCACAAAACATTGCTTAGTGAAATTAAAGAAGACATAAATAACTATATACACATATTTATTATTAAATAACCAGTTAATTTAATATCATTACAGCATCAGTCCCCCCAGACAAATTTTCTACAGATTCAATGCAATTCCAATCAAAATCTCAGTAGTATATTT
This sequence comes from Homo sapiens, assembly GCF_000001405.40. Lineage (NCBI taxonomy): Eukaryota > Metazoa > Chordata > Mammalia > Primates > Hominidae > Homo > Homo sapiens. The sequence goes on from NC_000011.10 coordinate 42,158,473, forward strand.
TGTAGAAATTAATAAGGTGATTATAAAAATGATATGGCCTTTCAAAAGACATAGAATATCCAAAACAACCTTGAAAAAAAATTGAAGTATTTACATTACCTAGTTTTAAGGCTTATGATAAGCTGCAATAATCAATACAATATTTCATTAAATATTTCAATTAAATAGTAATTGAATTAAATAAATAATTATTTAATTAAATATTTCATTAAAGATTTCATAATCTTGATTATTGCAGCTTATCATAAGCCTTAAAATCAGGTAATGTAGTAATATCTTGATTATTGTAACATTATAAGCCTTAAAACCAGGTAAAATCGACTCGCGTCACTTTTAAGGACGCATACACTGAAAATGATGGAATAAAAAAAGAGATTTCAAATAAATTGAAACCAAAAGAGAGGAAAGCTGGCTACATTTATGTCAGACAAAATATCCTTTAAGTCAAAAACTGTAAAAAGAGACAATTAGGGCATTTTATAATGATAAAGGGGTCAATTTATTAAGAGGCTTTAACAATTATAAATATACATATACCCAATAATAGAGATTCTAAATATATTTTTAAAATTTAAGGACTCTGAAGGGCGAGAAAGATTGCAACACAATAATAGTGGGGAATTTAATACCCCATTTTCAACAATGAACATATCATTCAAACAGAAAATTAAGAAAACTGTGGACTTGAACTACACTTTAAATGGAACTAACAGACATATGAAGAACTTTCCATCCACAAACAACAGAATATCTGTTTTTCTCAAGTACACATGAAACCTTCTTTGGGCTAGATCATATGTTAGGCCACAAAACAAATCTGATTAAATTTAAGAGAATTCAAATTATATCAACTATATTTTCTGACCACAATGATACAAAACTAGAAATCAGTAATAACAACAACAAAAAACTTTTAAAAAATCACAAATATGTGGAAATTAAGCCACATGCTTCTGTACAATGATGGGTCAAAAAAATGAAAAGGAAAATTTTTAAAAATATCTTAAGACAAATGGAAATACAGTATACCAAAACTTATGGGATGCAGCAAAAGCAATTCCAAGAGGGTCATATATAGCAACCAATGCTTATTAAAAAAAAGTTCAAATAAACAACCTAATGTTAGATCTCAAGGAACTAGAAAAACAAGGAACAAACTAAAGCTAAAGTTAGCAAATTGAAGAAAATAATAAAGATCAGAGTAGAAACAAATGAAATAGAGACAAGAAAGACAAATTAAAAATCAATGAAATAAAAGTTTTTTGAAAAGATGAACAAAAATCAACAAGTTAGCTAAACTGAGAAAAAAGAAAGAAGTCTTAAATAAATAAAATAAGAAAAAAGAGGAGAAATGACAAATGATACGATAGAAACAGAAAAAGATTACTACGAAAAATTACATGCCAACAAGTTGTATAACCTAGATGAAATGAATAAATTCCTAGACACCAAAAACCTACCCAAACTAAATCATGAAAAAATAGAAAATCCAATCAGGCCAATAATGAGTCAAGACATTGAATCAGTGATGATAATTTATTCTATCAAATAAATTCTCAGTGGCTGGGTTGCGGTGGCTCATGCCTGTATCCTAGCACTTTAGAAAGCCAAGGCAGGTGGATCACTTGAGGCCAACAAGACCAGACTTGCCAATATGGCAAAACTCTGTCTCCGCCGAAAATACAAAGATTAGCTGGGCATGGTGACATACGCCTATAATCCCAGCTACTCGGAAGGCTGAGGCACAGGAATCATTTGAACCTGGGAGGTGGAGGCCACAGTGAGCCGAGATCATGCCACTACACTCCAGCCTGGGCATCAGAGAGACTCCGTCTCAAAACAAAACAAAACAAAACAAATATTCCCAGGGCCTGATGGTTTCACTGCTGAATTCTATCAAACATTTAAAGAGGAAATAATACAAATTCTTCTCAAACCCTTTCAAAACATTGAAGAAGAGGAAATACTTCCAAACTCTTTTTTGAAGTCAGTATTATCCTGGCACCAATGCCAGAAAAAAAGACATTAAAAGAAAAGAAAATTGGAGGCCAACACCCTTGAGGAACATAGACGTAACAATCCTCAACAAAATAAAAGTGAACCAAATTTAACAATACATTACAAGGATAGTCAAAACGATCAAGCAAGATTTATCCCTGAGATGTAAGAATGGTTCAAGATATTCAAATGAGTAAACGTAATAGGTTATATTAACAGAATAAATAACAAAAAACACGTGATCATGTCATTAAACACAGAAAAAGTATTGTCAATATTCAACATCTTTTCATGATGTAAACTCTCTCAAAATTAGGTAATCATGTAATGTGTCTCAACACAATAAAGACCATATATGAGAAGCTCACAGCTAACATTATACTCCATGGGGCAAAATTGAAAACCTTTCCTCCAATATCTGGAACAAGGCAAGGATGTCTACTCTCATCAATTCTATTCAACATAGTACTGGAAGTTCTTGCCAGAGTACTTAGACAAGAGAAAGAAAGAAAAGACATCTAAGTAGGAAAGGAAGAATAACGTTTTCACTATTTCTTGATGACATGATTTTACACATGAAAAATCCTACAGATGTCACCAAAAAACTGAACTACTAAATGAATAAAGTTGCAAGATATAAAATCAATACATAAAAATCAGTAATGTTCTATACACAAACAATTTGGGGAAAAAGCTAAGAGAACAATCCCATTTACAATAGCTCAAAATAAATGAAATGCCTAAGAATAAATTTAATCGAGGTAAAAGATCTGTACACTGGAAACTATAAGACATTGATAAAAAATATTGGAGAAGATATATATTAATGAACAGCTGCCCCATGTTCATGGATTAGAAAATATAATATTGTTAAAATGATTATACTACCTGCTATAGGTTGATTTGTTTGATGCGTCAAACCTTATGTTGAAATTTGATGCCCAATGTTGGAGGTGGGGCCTAATGGGAAATGTTTGGGTCATGGGGAGAGATCTATCATGACTGGGCTAGTTCCATATTTGTGGTAATAAGTGAATCCTCATTCTATTCATTCCCACAAGAGCTGGCTGTTAGAAAAGAAACTGACAAATCCTCTCTCTCTTTCTCATTTCTTCTCTCAACCTGTGATCTCTGCACATACTGGCTGCTCTTCCCCTCCATTTCTGCCATGAGTGGAAGCAACTTGAGGACCACACCAGATATAGATACTGACACCATATTTCTTGTATAGCCTGCAGAACCATGAGCCACCTAAGCCTATTTTCTTTTTAAATTGATCCATTATATCAACATAAATGGACTAAGACAGACAATTGATACTGAGGAGGAAGTTGTGGCTATAAAGTTACCTGAAAATGTGGAAGTAGCTTTGGAACTGGTAATAGGCAAAATTTAGAATAATTTTTCAGGCTTAGAAGAAGACAGGAAGATGGGGGAAAGTTTGAAACTTGCTAAAGACTACTTAAGTGGTTGTTACCAAAATGCTGATAGAAATCTACACTGTAAAGGGCATGCTGAGGAGATCTCAGATGAAATGAGCAACTTATTGGGAAACAGTGAAAAAGTCACCCTTATTACACTGTAGCAAAGAAATTCACTACATTGTTTTCATGCCCTGGGAATTTGTGGAAAGCTAAATTTAGCAGTGATGACATAAGGTATCTGTCAGAAAAATATTTCTAAGGAACAAAGTGTTCAAGAAGTTGCATAGCTGCTTTTAACTGCTCATGGTCAGATATGGGAGCAAAGGAATGATCTGAAATTGAAATTTATAATTAAAAGGGAAGCAGAGCATAAAAATTCGCAAAATTCCAGCCTGGCCATGTGGTAGAAAAGAACAGAGGGTTTTCAGGAGGAATCCAAAGGTGCTGCGGAGAAACCACTTGCTAGGGAGATTTTTCAGAATGGCTGTTATCAAAATCGTGAAAGATAACAAGTGTTGGTGAGGGTGATAACCCTCGTATACTGTAGGTGGGAATGTAAATTAGTATAGCTATTCAGGAAAATAGTATGGAGGTTCACCAAAGAAATGAACAAATAAAATTACCATATGATCCAGTAATTCCACTTTTGGGTATATATTGAAAGGATTTGAAATCAGTATGGTGAAGAGAAATCTACACACTAATGTTTCTTGCCGTATTATCCAAAATAGCTAAGTTATGGAATCAACCTAAGTGTCCATCAACAGATAAATGGATAAAGAAAATGTGGTGGCTGGGCATGTTGGCTCATGCCTGTAATTCCCGCACTTTGAGAGGCCAAGGTGGGCAGATAGCTTGAGCTCAGGAGTTCAAGACCAGCCTGGCAACATAGTGAAACCCCATCTCTACAAAAAAATTTTAAAAATAAAAAACTTTGTCAGTTGTGGTGGTTTGTGCCTATAGTCCCCGCTAAATGGGAGGCTAAGGTGGGAGGATTGCTTTAGTTTAGGAGGTGGAGGTTGCAGTGAGCCGAGATTGTGACACTCAACTCCACCCTTGGTGACAGAGTGAAACCCTGTCTCAAAAAAAAAAAAAAAAAATGTGGTACGTATACACAACAAAATACGATACAGACTTAAAGAGGAAGTTATGTAATTTGCCACAACATAGAATAACCCAAATAAGCCAGGCGCAGAGACAAATACCATATGTTCTCACTTACATATGGAATCTAAAACAATCAAATTCATAGAAGCAAAGAACAGAATGGTGATTATCAGAGGCTGGGGAGTGGGGTAATGGGAAGACAATAGTTAAAGGATACAATGTTTTAGATAGGAGAAATAAATGACAAGTGTTTAAGGTGCCATATATGTTAATCAACTTCAATTATTTGAAATTGTATACATATATCAGAGCATCACTTTGTACCCCATGAATTTTTACAAGCATAATTTATCAATAGTCAATAGAAAATAATTAATTAAATATCAGTGTAAAAATAAAACATTTAGATAAAAATTCAGTGAATCTGCTTTTGGAAAATATTTTTTAATACAAAACAAAAACACAAACTATCAAATAAAGAACAATAAGTTAGACTTTTTCACAATTTAATCTCTTGATCTCCAAAAGTCACTTTGTAAATAAACTAAAAGTAATTATTTGTAAAATATATATCCAACAGATGATCTGTAGCTAGAATATATCAATAACTCATAGCCCAATGATAAGCAATCAACTATTTTTAAAGGGTAATTATTTAAAAAGATATTTTACCAAAATAATGTGCAGATGATGAGTAAAGCCATGAAACAGTAATTAACATCATTTTTCATAGGCAAATGCTAATTAAAATTGCAATGAGATATCACTACGTACCAATTAGAATGGCTACAATTAAAAATACTTACCCTGTCATGTCTGTTGAAGTTATGCCACAAATGACTCTCATACCCTGTTGAGAGAAATGTACAAAGAAAATAAATTTGGAAACACTTTAGGAATTTATTAAAAAGACAAAAATAAAGTACCATTTGACCCAGTTAGTTATTCAATTACTAAGTTTCTACACAAGATAAATGCAAGTATATATTCACATAAAGATTTGTACACAAATGTTCATAGCAGCATTTTTTAAAATAATATTTCCAAACTGGAAACAAGTCAAATATCAATCAACAGGTGGATGAATAAACAAGTCATGGTATACCCATATATTGGAATACTACTCAGCAACAAAAATGAAAAACAATGTATTTATACACAAAACAATATGGGTGAATCTCAAAATAATATGCTGAGTGAAAAAAGCCAGATGAAAACAAAGTACTGCCTTCCTGATTAAATTTGTGCATAAAATTATAGGGAATAAATCTGTATGGAAATTCTAGAAACTACAGTGACAGAATGCACATTAATAACATTGTATATGACAGAGAGAAAGAAGGAAATTCAACAGGGCACAAGAAAATTTGAGGGGATGTCATGTAAATTTTCTTGATTTTGGTTTTACTTTCATGGATATATACATGTGTCAAAATTCAACAAAAAAATATATATATACACACACATACACTTACACACATATACATACATACATATGTCAAAACTCAACAAATTATACACACACACACACACACATACTTACACACATATATGCATCTGCCAATAAATTGTAAGTGCACTTTTAAAAATTAGAACATAAACTATATGCTTTCTATATAAGATACACAATTCAAAAATAGGAAACAAAACATCTCGAAATTAAAATGATAATATATACAATGCAAACACCAATAAAAATTATCATATTATATGAAGCAAACACTATTTTGAGGTGACAAATATTAATGGAGATAAAACATTCCATAATAGCTAAAGCATCAATTCAACAGAGAAATATAACAATACTAAATTTATAGGTTTTATAATATAGTTTTAAATTATATGATGTCAAGCTAACAGAGCTAAAAGTGAAAATAAAATAACCCACAATTAATTTTGAGATTTGAACATAGTTTTGTGAGAAACTGCTAGAAAAAGTTGACCAAAAATCAATAAAGAATGGAAGATCTGTAAAACTTCACAGTAACATTTTTCTCAAGTGCATGTGAAAGATTTCCCAAACCATCTGTTGAGCCATAAAACAAGTATCTGTAATTATCCAAGGTGATATCGTGTTTTGTTTTATGATCACAATTAAATTTCAGTGAAACTCAATAATAACATTATAACTAGACAAACTCTGAATCCTGGACATTAAGAAAGTTACTTCTAGATACTTACTGGGTCAAAGAAAATTATCAAAATGAAAATTTGAGAATATTTTTCAAGGAGTTACAATAGTGTTATCACATGCCAAATGTGTGCAATTCAGCTACTACGGTGTTCAGAGGAAAATGTATATACTAAACAACAAGATAGTTTGATAAGCAATGAGCTAAACTTCTTTCCAAAAAGCTGGCAAAGAACATTGAATTAAATCCAAAGCAAGTAAAATGATGTAACCAAGAAATAGAAAACATTAAGTAAGAAAAAAATCCACCAAATGAGAAGCTTATGTTTTTAAACATAAATTGATAAACAGCCAACTAAACTAATTAAGGGGAAAAAGAATGGACTGATAATATAAGAAATGCAAATGTTGCCATTATTTCATATTCCACACATGTTAAAAGGTTAAAAGAGGCTTATCATTAATAATTCCATGCCAATAAACCTGACAATTTGAAAAACACAGCTTATCAAAATTGATATTAAAAAAGCCAAAATTTGAGTAGCTCTCTACTTACTAATATATTAAATTAATTCAAACCTTCCCATTGAGACAGCTCCAACAGCAGATGGTCTCACTGGTAAAATTTTTCAAACATTTAAGGAATAAGACAATCTTCCACAAACTTTTCCAGAGAATAAAAAATGTTAAAGTGCCTCAATACACATTTTATGACCTGGCATAACTAGGTTATCAAAAACCGTAAGGAATATTGCAAGAAAGGAAATTTACAGATCAGTATCTCCCAGGAATAAGGACACAAAAACCCTCAATGTAATATAAATTATTATAATCTTTGATTAAATAAATATTGTATCTTATTAGCATTAAGTAAAAATTATGTCAATAAACAAATGTTCATTCCAGGAGCATAAAATTCCAATTAAAACTGAAAACTCATGAATACTATGCGCCATGTTAACAGAATAAAGAGAAAAAAATTATATCAGTATCTCAATAAGTGTAGAACAACCATTTGATAAATTCCAATATCTATTCATTAAATAACAACAAGGAATATTCTCAGAAAACGAGGAATAGAATGTTTTCAGTCTAGTAAAAAGTATATGCAAAAAAAGCAATAGACAAACAGTAAAAACTCTCAGAAGAAAAAATACAATAAAACATTGAATGTTTTCTTTTGCAGGATAAAAACAAGATAAAAATGCCCATTACCTCCAATTCTATTAAACATATTATTAGAGATAATGTAGTAAATGTCAGTGCAATAGAGAAAATGTAATAAGGCAACAAAATAAAATATATGAGAAAGTCCAGGCATGGTTGCTAACACGTGTAATCCCAGCACTTTGGGAGGCTGAGGTGGGTGGATCCCTTGAGGTCAGGAATTCAAGACCAGCCTGGCCAACATGGTGAAACCCCATCTCCACTAAAACTAACAATAAAAAAATTAGTCGAGTGTGGTGGCGTGCACCTGTAATCTCAGCTACTAGGGAGGCTGAGACATGAGAATCACTTGAACCCAGGAAGCAGAGGTTGCAGTCAGCCAAGATCACACCACTGTCCTCCAGCCTGGGCAACAGAGCAAGACTCTGTCTCAAAAAAATATATATGAGAAAGAAATAAAAATTACTATTATTTACAGATGACATATTTATGCACACAAAAAACAAAATGATTCTGAAAATAAACTGTTAGAAATAATAAAGATTACTGAATAAAATGCTAATATAGAGAAATCAATTGCATTTCTAGAGATTAGTACCACACAATTGTTTATACATTTTACAGGCATTATTTTCAATAGTACAAAAGATATGAAAATCTCAGGATAAATTTAGAGAAGGAATATATCATATACCCTGTTCATGAATTGGAAGACATAATATTATGAAGAGTCAATTCTCCCCAATTTTATTTATAAATAAATCTAATGCAATCTTAATTAAATCCCACCAGGACCTTAAGCAAAAATGTACCACTAATTTTAATGATTAGCAGTGAAAATGACCTAGGATAACCAAGATGATCTTAGAAAAGGAGTGCAAAGCTAAAAGACTTACAGTATTAAATATCAAGAATTATTTTAACACTAAAATGTCTAAAACAATGTAGTATCCATGCGAAAATCTAATGGAACAGAATAAGCAGCCCAGACACAGATACATATACAACAACACTTGATTTTGAACCTAGACGCCACTGAAATTTGGCATGGAAAGGACAGTCCTTTAATTAGCACTTCTTGCTCCACTGGATATTCTATTTAAAAATGAACTTTTTGGCTTCTACTTTACAGCATACAGAAAAATTAATTACATATAGACTAGAACAAAAATTGGGAGGTGAATTGTGGCAGGAATTAAACTGCAAACTTTAAAGAAACAGGTAAAAATCATGTTTATGCTAAAATTTCAAGGAAAAGTGTTGATTCTTGTTTTTTCAAAATTCATAATCCCTAATAACATGTAAATCGGCATTACATTTAACATAGGTTTCTCAGAATCTGTATTTACTACATATACCTTTATTAACATGCTAACATAGAAAATCATTCCTTGACACAATGGCCCAAGAATGAAACTCAAAAAATGGGAATGAAAACACCCTTATTTTCAACATACCGAAATTTGTATGTTTTTTAACAATAAATTTTGAATGTATGTTTCCTTGGGCAATATCTTTAAACCTAAGAAATTTAATTTCATCTGATTACACTTTAAGGAGGAAGATATCCAGTTTTTGTGTTTTATCTTTTAGTTGTAAAACTTTTATAGTCTTAACATAGGAGGAGAGAAAGAAAAGAGGAGAGTAGATGAGTGAATGAAGGCAGGAAAGAAAGAAGAAAAAGGAGAAATAAATAAAGGGAGAGAGAGAGGGTGAGAAAAAATTGTTAAGTAGTAGAGTTCCTCTTAGGTAAAAAGAATAGTTTGTATTTAAGAATCCACTCTACTGGTTATATTTATTAATTCAGATAAGGCCCTTTGTGAATAGTTTTTGTACAATGTGACCAGAAATTATTTAATTAAATTAAAAGAAATTGAATAATTTTATGATGAACTAGAAGGAAACACAGAAAATTGAGGCATTATAAAGAACTATGAGAAACTAAGAAGGAATTTTAAAGCTGGGGCAATTTTACTTTCTATTTAATTTGCTTATTTATTTGTATATTTTCTTTTTTAAGTTGACATATAACCGTTGTACATATTTTGGGGTGTACATATAATATTTTGGTATCTGTATACAATGTGTAATTATCAAATCAGGGTAATTGGAGTATCCATCGCCTCAAAGATTTATCTTTCTTTTGTGTTGGGAACATGACAAGGCTTTTCTTCTAGTTATTTTGAAATATACCATAAAGTATTATTAACTATAAATTTTTTTTTTTTTTGAGACGGAGTCTCGCTCTGTCGCCCAGGCTGGAATGCAGTGGCGCAATCTCAGCTCACTGCAAGCTCCGCCTCCCGGGTTCATGCCATTCTCCTGCCTCAGCCTCCCCAGTAGCTGGGACTAACAGGCTCCCGCCACCACGCCCGGCTAATTTTTTTTTGTATTTTTTAGTGGAGATGGGGTTTCACCGTGTTAGCCAGAATGGTTTGGATCTCCTGACCTCGTGATCTGCCCGCCTTGGCCTCCCAAAGTGCTGGGATTACAGGTGTGAGACACCTTGCCCGGCCTATTAACTACAATTTCCCTACTGTACTATCAAATAGCAGAACTTCTTCCTTCTAACTGTATTTTTGTAGCCCTAACCAGCTTCTCTTTGTCATGCCCCCTTGCTGGTTGTGTTGACACACAACTTGCATGAGGTCTTCAGTAAAGTTTCATATACCCACAGATGTCCTGTTCAACTAGTATTTGGAGAAAATCAAGGGAAAAGAGAAGAATACCATGCCTCACTGGTGCATGGCTGAGAGAAGGGAAAAAAATGGAATTCAGATAGGCAGGTCATTGAGAAGAGAAGTGAGAAGCTAATATAAACATGTGGAAAATTTGCAAAAATCTATGGAAGATCACTACTTTCACAGGATGAGGGGTAAGGAAGTTCAAACCAATTTTCTTTAAATATCAAAGGACTGAGTGACCTTTGATACTTTAGTTGCAATATAACTAGAAGGTAGAATAAAGAGTAGAAGCAAATGACCTCTAAGGCCTCAACTAACTTCGAAATGCTTTGATTCTAAGAGAAGCATATGACTGTTTAGCAATATATCAAAGACTTGCCAGTGTGACTGTGGTTTGGGCCAATTATTGCATTTATTTATGGTTTGGGAACTTCATTTAGGGCTTGAGGTACAAGACTGAAATAACTCAAGTTCAAAGAAATAACAATGACATTGACATTTCACACGATCAGCAAGTCTTTCAGGGAATTACAGAATGGCAACATTTAGAAGTAAGGGATTAGTAGAGAAAACTGTCCCCAAAGCCTCATTACAGAGTAAATCAAACCTGACCTGCTGGCCCAATGTTGCTGTCACATCAGGAGAGAGACCAAACCACTAAAAATGGCAAATGCAGCAAATCCCTTATTGCTTCTTTAGGGTAAAATAGAAAGAGAGATAAATAAGAAGCCTAAACCAAGCCATTCTGCAAGTTCTTAAAACTGGGAGGCCCTAGATACTGCCAGTTTTTCGATCGGATTACCCAAGATAGTTTGTAGTTAATTATCAAATGCAAAAATCAATGTCTGCTTATTAACTCTGAACAAAGAAGTTTTAAGTGTTTGTCATAAAACTCAGAGTCTAGTTATCTTAATCAAAAGTCCAATGATATGCAAAAGGAGTCACTCATGCTTAGTTCTTTACATGCTGACATTTTGAGACAGCAGAGAGAGGCACTATATTTACCATGATGCTAATATGAATAACAGAGGGACTTCTGAGTCGCAACACATTGACGTATCCATAGTGCCCTTATGAACATCATTCTATGATTACAGAGGACTGACTTGGTTGGGCAAGATCATACATAAAATATGAAAAGGAAAATGTATATTTGTCATTAGAATCACTACTTGAACTCCAGGGAAGTGCCAATGGTTAAAAACCAGAAGGTATCATACCCTATGACAGACATATTTTATTGTGAAGAAGGTAAACACCTTGCTTATAATTTCTGTTTTTGCATTGCAAACTATAGATTATACAGTAGGATGAAATGCATAAAGCTGAGGTTTAGGAAATTCAGGCTCCATTTCTAGTTAGGCCACTAACTAGCTGGGTGACATTCAGCAAGTCACTTCATCTCTTTGGCTTACACTTTCCACACCTGTAAAAAGAAAGAGGTAAATTTTGTGACCTCCCTTCCAGATGACAAGGTTTAATGTTAATTTGCTACTTTTTCTTCATCTCTACATTTATAATATAGAATTCCATTTTGAATAATCAGAGGAGATACTTTCCTGGGTCTAAAGACCTAAGGCATATCTAATCATTCATTTACGTCTCACAGAAACATGTATATCTCTCTTTTTCCAACTTTAAATGCCCCACTGTACTCATTGAACTTGAAGGAGTGTTCCCACTGAGCTCTGTGTGAAAAGAAATTGCCATCACATGAATATCTACCCGTCCACATTAAACTAGACATGAAAATATTCCAACCACTCCACTCATCCTATTAATATTCCAGCCTGATGGATATGGAAGAATCACTGACTCATGATCTCTTTCCCAGCTGGTCTCTGCAGAAAGAACTGGAACAATGTGTACATACATTTCACTTATTAATTGCATAACTGGATATTTCAAGATTACTCTGACCCTCTGCAGAGCAAGATAAACACTGTAATAAAAGATTTCCATATGGAGAGGTTACTCTAATTTTTCAAGATCCAAGGATTTATAAGTTAGTCTTTTAAATTGCAAGGGACAGAATACCACTTTCTAGTTGCCTCAGAAATGAGAGTAAGGATGCAAGAACATTTTAGCTCTTATATATGAAAAATTATATGAGTTTCATTTAACTTTGTGCAAGTTATCCTATTTTCATCCCACTCCCCATGCATTTTCCACCTTTCTTCAGCCTTCTCCATGACACTGGAGGATGATTTCTGTTAATTGCCTCACTGACTTCCTTGAAGTTGAGTGATGACAAAGGGAGGTACCAGCTAGAGACTGAAGAGCTAACTGAGAAAAATACCAGAGCATTTCCTTTCAACTCTCTCCATTCTTCAGGGCTGTGTCCACCTCTCTAGCACTATCTGACACCCCCACAAGACACATCGTGACTATTGCAGCTTTTATTGAGCTGGAATAGCACTTTCTTTCCCTGGTTCCTTCAGTTCCAGAGATGGTAACAACTTTTCATTTTCTCTAGACTTTGAGTGTCTCATCCTTTCTTATTTATTATTATCATTTTTTTTTCTGAGATGGAGTTTCGCTCTTGTTCCCCGGGCTGGAGTGCAATGGCGTGATCTCGGCTCACTGCAACCTCCGCCTCCTGGGTTCAAGCGATTCTCCTGCTTCAGTCTTCTGAGTAGCTGGGATTACAGGCACGGAATTTTGCTAGTCCTTTCATAAATAATTGTACCATTAAAATATGCTTTTTTTTTGTATAAACTGTCTGGAGTGAATTCTGCAGGGCTTGGCTGACATAAGCTAAGGTCTAGAGTTCAAACTATGTTACAAAGACCTACTCTCTATTGCTCAGGTTTACGCTCTTTCATCGTGGCTCAGGTGGAAGCAAGATAGTTACTAGTAACTCAAGACATACACCCTTCCATGTTGGTGTCTAGAAAAAGAACATTTTTTTCCAGAAATTTAAACAGGAATATTGAAGGAGCACTCATTAGGCCAACTGGGGGCATATGGCCATGTCTCAACCAATGTTGTGGCCAGGGCAATGAGAAGCAACTGGTCAAACAAAAATCCTTTCCATACCCCCAGAAATATGGGGTGGAGTCAACAGCAGCCAAAGTCCTTGGACTGAGAGCAGGAGAGATGGATTCCAAGAGTACTCTCTCTGTGTCACTTAGGAAAAAAAAAGGAAAGTAGATAAAGTGGCCACAAATTATTAATTCATTTAGTTGGTACCATGAAGGCTGAGCTTGAAAAAAAAAATGTGTTGTCCTTTATTTGAGCTCACCCTACTTCTTCTTTAGGTCCCAGATCTACCTTTAGTTTACTTTCTATCTCTTGGGTCCCCATATAATTAGGATGCCATAATCGGGTCACTGCTTCCACCGATGAAATATTTTCATAATCCTTTTTCATATGATGTTAGGAAAACTCCGTCAATTTTCACTTAAAATTTTTCTGTATTTAATGTTTATTAAAATTAACATACTCTCAGGATAAAGTCCAAGGATCTTGCCATGATGCAGAAGACTATACTGAATCCAATTCCCTTCCTATTCTATGATCTCATTTTGCACCAAGATATCCTCATTGCTCTCTCTGTTAAAACTTCATTGAAGTATTTTAATTTCTGTAACACACTAAGCTTGCTTCTTCCTCAGGGATTTTGCATTTGCTGCTACCTCCCCTTGGAAGGCTCCTTCCCACATGTTCACAGGCTGATTCGTTCTGATCATTTGGGTCCCAGCTCAAACGTTAACTCCTAACTGAGACTGTCTTACGCCCTCTCACTTTTTCTTAATCCATTTTTCTATTTTATGGCACTGCCATAAAATTTATCTTTGTTCAAAATTACCTTATTAATTTGTTACTTTTCTCTCTCTTGCCAGATTGTCTACTCCTCCTGTCTGACACATGGGAGGCGCTTAGTAAACATTAATTGAATGAATAACCATGGTAACAAAGCAATGCAAAGAAATCATATCTTTTTACTCAAAAGGAATGGCACAATTTTAGATACTAGAGGAAAGGAGGTTGGGGGAAGGTCCCTTGACATCCAAGACATCTACGTTTTATTAGATATATTATTGAAATATATAAGAAAATAAAGTTTTAGAAATACAATGATAAAAATATATTTAATGGTGCTTAAAATAGGTTTGGCAAGTATTTTTATTTCTTTCCCAATTAGGTAAAGAAATTGGATAGTGGGAGTAGAGACCATATTGATAGGGTAGAAACATAATTGTCAGTTGCCAACATTGGCAAATACTGTTGTTCCTAATAGACACACACTGTCTAGTGAATTGGAAATTGATTCAGAAATGGGCTGCAAGATGTCTATTGCAGACCACCTGTCTTCAGATTTTCATATTTTTAGTGCCAACCACTCCTTCCCCACATGCAACACTGAGAAATAGTGAAGATTTAACAGAGATTGATAATTATTATGAAATGCAGGTATACATGAGAACAGAAGGCTGAAATAAATATGGTGTTTTTGTAAATGCTGTGTTGCAATACGAACAATATGTAGTAATGCATAATTGAAAGTCTTGGATAAGTATAGCAGCACTCGCTTGATTAGGTTAAGATTAGCTCGGCTGAAATTCTATCTCCTCCACTTTCTGCTTGACATTGGAAAAATCTCTTTGCTCTTCTGAGCCTCACTTTTCTCATCATAAAAATAGTAGTAAGATATAAAATGCCTAAAATATTATACATGTATTATTGTGAGGGACCAATGTTATAGCCCATGTAAAAAATTTAGCATACTGTCTCATACAGACAGTAAGCTCTCAATAAATGTTGGCTGTTATTAATACAATGATCACTATTGCATTCATTAATTACTCTGAGAATGCAAGGGAGTTATCAATATCTATTTTCAAAGCCAAAATTTCTCCCACTTTAGGATTTATTCCTAAGTATATTAGTATCTACCTAAAAGAAATATCAAAAAATGAAGATTTTTAAATAAGTACAAATATTACTAATGTTTATATTTGTACATCTTATAAAGAGTTTATCTCTTTGAAATTCAGTTTCATTATTTGCAAATTATAAAAGTAAGAAAAATATAAATCTCTCAGGGTAATTAAGATGATTAAGTGAAATAATAATTATAAAAGAGACTTTAGCAGGGTGGATATGTAGCAAACACTCAGTAAATGGCCATTAATATTACTATTATTACACATTAAGATTAATTTTTATGTGGGGCTTTTTAGTATTTGTGACAAATTTTGTAATTCCTTTTATCACTATGAGGAGACTGAGACTCGGAAGCTAAAGACTCACTTAGGTAGAAGCTAGAAAAATAGCATCTTGACCTTAGATCTTTTCAGGTCAATAGCTTTCTTCTTTCCACCACACCTTGTCACTTCTGATGTTTGGTTTGTATTTAAAGTCTCTAGCATAATAAAGAAAAATGGATCTATTATCTTTCTATGGCTTCATTAGAAGACAAAAGCAAAGGAGTATACTTACAAGTATTGCTAATATAACTCAGATACAGTTCCTGAGTTCAAAACTTAATAAGTCTAAATTTATTCAGCAGAAAAAGAAATTCTGCAAAATCCAACTGCAAAACGACTTCTAAGTAGTAGACTTTGGTCCATTTCCCATCTCTGAATACAAATGCTCCAGGACTCAAAAGTGGTAAAACACATCCCCTGCAGTTGGGTGGATATGCCAGATCTCTGAATTCCTAATTCAAACAGTGGTGGCATACATTTTAGGGAAGCCCTTGACATAAAGTCATATTTTATATGAGCCAGAACTAATATTTTTAAGCTGAAGGAACTGCCATTTTTACTAGTTCTTTGCAACACAAGTCATTCTCCTTTACCTGTTTATGGTGCCCCCTGTCCTTTTAAATGTAAGTTGCTTTACATCATATTCTGCATCTTCTGTAAACCACTTTCCTTTTCAGTACCTATCATTCTCTTTCAAAGTTCCATATATTTGTACACATTGTTCCCAGTGCTGGGAAAGTTCCATTCTCCCAATCTCAGTTCTCATTTTCCATTCCACACCCTCCCATATGGCATAGCACCACCGTTTAGAATATTGGCTCTTCTTGCCTCCATGAAGTCTTCCCCCAGGGCCTGTTGTCTCTTCCACCACAGAGTTCATCAGAGTATGGCTCCTTGAATACGATCCTATTTTTTATTTATACCATCCAATATTGTTTTTAATCTGCCCATGAAATATTTGCAGAAGCTTACTGTCTCAGGAACTATCCCAAAGACTCACAGAGTGAACATATCAAATACATTCACTGCCTTCATGGTTCTGCCAAAATAGTGATTATTTTTAACTACTGATCTCTCCTGGATGTATCATGGGTACCATGAAAGCAGAGTGTATCTCATTCATCATCAAACCCACAGTGGCTAGCACAAGGCCTGGCACGCATCAGTTGCTGATTAAATATTTGCTGAATCATAGTGGTTAACAAGCTGAATTCTGTATTATCATAAATATTTGTGATTCAGAGTCAGACAATTCAGTCTAAGATTTGACTTCAGCTTCTTCTCTGCAGATTCCCAAAGGACTGGTTTCTTACATTAGAGGCAACTGAATCTGCCCTTCAGCACAATTTGTTGACTTTGAGAAGTTATTCCCCAAGTATTGTACCAAGTTTTGCTTAACAAGGTGCCAGAGGTGCTGGAATCATTGCAGACAATATTTACTCACATGCTCATGGCCCTTGGAGCTAGGGAAGGCTGGGAGGACATACAGGGAACATTATAGATAAGGACAGCCTAGTTAATATTATAAAAGAAGCAGGGATAAAGCTCCTGTTTCAGAAAGTGTCTTGGCACGAGCTTTCCCTTTGCAAAAGGCAATTGAAAATGGGCAAAGAAATCTTTTAATTTTCTGATTGTCTTCATAATTTGACTAGAGTATCTTCACTTGTGGTGAAATCTGAATCCATTCTGATCCTGTCCTCTCTGGCTCTTACTGTGACTGTATCTTTGAACACATATATTATATAACTTATACAACAAGTACAAATAATACAACTTATTTATTTAATCAACTAGATAAATAGGTTTACCAAGAACCTATTACATGCCAAAGCCTATGATAGACACAGAGATTATAAGGAAAAATAAGACATAGTTACAAATTCACCAATATTTGCTGTTCTCAGAATACAGGGCAGAAAAACATAGTATCAATATAATAGGTGCCATCTTAAAGGTTTAAACACATGCTGGGAAATCCAAGAGGAGTCAGCAATTGAGTATTGTCCATGAATACAGGCAAACATCCAGAGGAGGTGACACTGAGCTGCGATTTGAAAAATGAGGGAAGAGTAATTGGAAACATCTCCACAATAACCTCTTCACTTTTTCCCTGCCTCCATTCCCACACACTTTCATCAGTTACCACACAGCTGCCCAAATGATCTTTTATAATGAAAAATGGAACATACTGCCCACCTGCTTTTCAACCCACTTAGAATAAAATCCAAGCTCCTCACCATGGCCCACACTCTCTTGACACTTGTCTACCTCTGATATCACATCACATAAAATTCACTCCTCACTAAAGATACTCCAGAAATAATATGTTCTGTCTGTCCCTTGGACAAGCCAAGCTCAATTTTATTTCTGTACCTTTATACAGGCTGTCTCTTCTGCCTGAAACTTTTAGCCCACGCCACCCCCAATTTGCATGGTTGACATATTTTTGTCATTTAGTTCTCAGCACAAAAATTACTGTTCAGAGAGGCTTTTTCTAAATGCCCAATATGAATGAAGTGGACTATTCACTTCCAACGTATCACTTTTTATCCTGTTGTTGTTTTTTTTAAGTGAGAATTCAAGCACCAGGAAATAAGATTCATGCATTCAATCTGTCTTGGACATTGTCTTATTCCCAACTCACAGAATATTTCCTGGTACACAGTAAGCACTCTTAATGTTCTTATCTGATTGATTTCTCATCTGTCATCTATTTCATGATGATGTATATATTATAATTCTTATGAAGATAGCTTACTGAACATATTTGGGAGTCTTTAGGAGACTCCAAACTTTTCCTATATATTTGCTTAAGCTACCATAACAAGGGACCACAGACAGGGTGCCTTAAAGCACAGAACTTTATTTTCTCACAATTCTAGAGGCAAAATATGCAAGGTCATGATTTCAGCAGGATTAGTTCATCCCAAGGCTTCTCTCTTTGGCTTGTAGATGGCTGCCTTTTGCTGGTATCTTCATACAGTCTTCTCCCTGTGTGTGTACACAGCCAGCCCTCCACATCTGTGAGATCTATATCCACACATTCAATCAACTGCAGATCAAAATGTTCAAAAAAGATAACAAATAACAATAAAATAATACAATAAGTTTTACAAAGAAATAGCAACGCAACAAAACACTATACAACAATATAATACAAATAAAAAACTACAGTATAACAACTATCACATTTACATTGTATTAGGTATTATAAGTAATCTAGAAATGTACAAGAAGATGTGGATAGGTTATATGCAAATACTATGCCATTTCATAAAAGGAACTTGAGCATCTGTGGATTTCTCAGAGGGTCCTGAAACCACAGCCTCATGGATACCAAGAAATGACTGTATTTGTTCCCTAATCCCATCTTTCTATAAGGATACAAGTCATATAGGATTAGGGCTCACTCTAAAGCTTCCATCAATCTTAGTCACCTCTTTAAAGATCTTATCTCCAAATACAGTCATATACTGAGATGAGACGTCAATATATGAATTTTGGGGGTCCACAATTGAGCCCACAAGGCCATATAATATGTCACTATGAATCTACTAGAAAATATAGAGTTCATGATATAAAATAATTTATAATCCATAAAACTTTCCTGATTTAGACCATGGGTCTTGATTTGTTCTTTATTTCAGCAAACGCTGGTATAATATGATACTGATATGCTTAAGCTCATGTAATGGAGACACAAAATACAGTAACTCAAGAAAGATACATGTTTATTTTTGTTTCAGTTCAGACATAAGTGGCTATTCTATGGCAAGTGGGCAGTTTTCCTTCGGGAGGTTGTCCAGGAGCACAGTTCCCTTCTAACTTGTTATCCACTATTCACTAAGGTGGTTTTCTCATGTCTGCATGGCTGAATCTACCCCCACTAGTACAACTTTCTCCTTTAGACCAAGAGAAAGGGCTAGAGAAGAAATGGTGAACAAGCAGTTTTCTTTTCAGGACATGGGCTTGAAGTTAAGCCCTTCACTTCCTCTCACATTCCATGGAATTAATTTACTCATATCATCATACCATTTGCAAAGAAAGCTTGGAAATGCAGTCTCAATCTGGTTGAGTATGAGATCTGTCACATGATTATACCATATGTGGTGGTTGAGAAGTTCTAGTACTAAAAGAAAGTCGTAAGGAACAGATATTGGGGAACAATTTCTGTTACAAGAGTGGATATTGAGGGACAATTAATCTCTGCCAAATTAATTAGATTTTTAACTATATCCAAAATACTTGCAGCAGTATTTTGGACAGAGAGTAGCATAAGACATGGTCTTTTCCACTTATGTAACATTCTTATTTAAAAGTGTAAGATTAGCTCAATCTGTTGTAATTATCATTGGAACCTGAGATTATTTTTATACCAAGTTTGACAAAAATTCCATTCACCATGGTCATATTTTTTGATCATCCTAGCATTACCTATGAGAAAAACTTAAGTCAAAATATTTTGCATAATGTCATGCTGTTTTATACAAGCAGAAACATAACAGAAAGGCACAATAAATAAAACTATAAATAAAACAATAATAAATAAAACAATAAATAAAACAATTAAATAAATAAAGGCACAATAAAGTAAAAGATAGAGGCATCTAAATGACACAGTTTTGGAAGGGCCCTCACCTGTGTAAGCATCAGCCAATGAACAAAAGAATAACTATAGGCAAGGTACTTAATGCTTCCAAATCTCAGTTTTTATATTGCTACACTTAGAATAATACTTACCTTGAGGGTTCTTCTAAAGGCTTAGGCTGATGTGTGAAAATCAACCTGCAGAACTCAATAAACAGAAATACAATTTGGTGGTTTTCTTTACTTAAGAACATGGTTTCTAGATAAGATTATCTGATATTTGTTAATCATTTGTGACATCAGGTAATACTCTTAAACTCCCTAAGTCTCAGTTTTCTCAACTTTAGAACAAAAATAACAATAGCACCAGATTGACAGTAGTGTTACTGTCAGATTTGAGTAAAACAATGCATGTAAACTGCCTATCAAGGTGCTTGGTGCATCCTAAGTGTTTAGTCAATATCATTGCCATGATTTTTTTCTCTGCTGAATATTGTGGCTTAGGTCATTAGACAAGAGTCTTCCTCCAGCCCCATCTAAGGCCCTGGTTCTTTATCAATTGTCTGCGCTGCTGCTGAGTAAAAAGTGAAGATACACAGCACATCTGTTTCCCATTTAAGAGGCCTTCAGGCTGGGTGCTTTAAAGATTAAACTGCATTATTGTCATTATCCATGTGAAGACTTCTTTCCACGGTGAAGCTATTCATACTTAGAGTGGAAAATTACAACTTCCAAAATTGTCTCCCCAGGGGAAATCTAATGGGTATTTTTTTAATGTCTTTTGTAAATGATTGCTATCAAATGAAGAATTCTGATTAAGGTCATTGAAACTTTTTAACAGATAGTGAGAGGAAAATCATTGGGCATATTCCTAGTCACATTCATTCCCCCATTACCCTTTGACCCATTAATTCAACAGGACTATTTAGCTGCCCTTTTTATGTTAATGGAAACACAAAAAGTTGGAAAATTTCTGACTAAAATTTTAATTGCCCATTTGAGGCAATTAACATTTTACCATCAAGTAATTGCCCATTTGAGGACAATAAGTTCAAGTCATAAGAATAAACACCAGGGGACACCATTCAGTTCTAGGAAGATTCAGAATTGACATCACTCCCTCTCGCAAGACTTATTATTTTCTAATATAGAAGACATGTTATTGGAATATATCCCAAGAACACACTCTTTTCAAGCACTAGGAGATAAAAACCTTTCTTGCATAACACTACCTATATGCTAGTTATTACCATGTCAGTTCTAAAAGTCACGTTGGAACCAGTTAAAATAATTATTTAAGAAAAAACTAAATCAACTTAATTTGCCACCTGTTTGGGAGCCTGTGTGCTCCATCAGTTGACTAGACAAACAGGTAGCTTGCATAGCCTAAGGAAGGAAAAAATCAATCTTCTAAGAATAAAGCTAGTGTCAAAGTAACAGGTATCCTTGAAGCTTGATTTAAGATCAGTGAATTACAAACATTTGTTGTGGTGGAATGAAAACATAACAGAAAAAGTTCTCCTTGACATGGAGGTACTTACTACTTAACAATTAGAAAATCAGATCTTGTCACATTCTGAATTTGTTGATTTCCTCATCATTAGATTCAAGTTAAGACGATTGTGGTAGGAAAACTACATGAAGATGTTTACTTCTTTCTGCATCCCACCAGGAGGCATATATGCTAGGGTTTTCCCACTATCAATGAGGCGAAGACTGAGAACTTGATAAATACGCCAAGTGAATCATTTTATATGAAGGTAAATTCTTCTTTGGAATTATTAGGTAAACTGTGGAGAGATACTTTGAGACCATGTTAATATCCTGCTCCCTAAAAGTATTTCAGAGACAGGGGAAATACTTTCTAGTATCCTTCGATAATGCTTGTCTATATCAGTTACTGCATTGGCTGTCAGAAAATGGTGACTTTGTAATTTTATCATTCCTTTATTCAACCGGACTTGTTGATTTTGGCTTACACATATTGAGGATCTTCTAAATTTGCTTTGTTATGGGGCAGCTCACAGAAAAAATTCAGCAAAATTAGAACTGAAAGTTCTAACCATCTTTCAAAAGCTTACAGTACTAAATTTCCCAACCCTTCTTGCATCTCTCTTTACTATTTCTGCTATTCTTATTTTGTTCTGATTTATTCCATGCCTTTCCATTCTGCCTCAAAACCTTTTTGAAAGAAATTTATATAAGAAAATACTTATTTCTGGAATCTGAATAATGTCTTTCTGTTCTTGAATGGCCAGAAAGGGAGAGAAGAAGGGCTTTTTATGACTGTGTCAGAGATTCTTAAACTATATTAAAGAACTAGCAACATGCTTTCAGAAGAGGTTTTCTGCTTATACACAAACAAAGAGGAGGGCAAGATTAAAGAAATTAAAAATTCTGAAGAAACACACATTACACTGATTTCTAGT